>NC_000011.10:105657273-105960303 GCF_000001405.40 Homo sapiens
TACACTGCTTGTGTGATGGGTACACCAAAATCTCGAAGTCACCGCTAAGTAACTTATCCATGTAACCAAACACCACCTGTTCCCCAAAAACCTACTGAAATAAAAAATAATCATAAAAAACTCTAAAAAGTTAATATATTATTCAAAAATATTTTACAAATATTTTGATACATTTTTATCTTTCTTAGTTAACAAAAGAAAAGAAGTTATTCTTCAATGCACATTGGTCTTCTATTGATTTTCCCTTAGTGTTACTGGTTGAGAACTGCTAACCTTAATGTCATAAATGATCACAAAAGCTGGAGAATAGATGCAGGGGCTGGCTTATAATACTATCAGTGAAAGGCATTGCTTTTTAGTCTAAAGTATCTTTCCCAATCCCTTGGAAAATCAGATTAGATGTGTCTCTGATTGCTACAACACTTTTCAGGTTCATAATCAGTCACCTACTGATGGCACCCAGAAATGTTTCTGATTTTTATTTGATCATGATAGTACAATGTACTTTGTAGTCTGTATGGAATTAGAGGAACTCATGTAATATAAAAAGAAAAAATAAGATTCAAATATTAGTACAGATGGAATGTATTTTTTTCTTTAAAGGAGGTATATGGAAACTCTATTTTTTTCTCAATTTTGCTGTGAACTTAAAAATGTCCTAAAATATAAAGTGTATTTTAAAATTTTATATTTTATTATACCTTTTAAGTTACTTATCTGTGTGTACAAGTATTTTTATCAGGAAAAATTCTCATTTTTGAATATCTTTTCAGAGAAAGTGTTAACAGCATATTTCTTAAGTATAGTAGAATTTTTTTAAAGTTTAAGAAATATTAACATTAGTGTCATATTGTCTCACCTTAAAAGATGTTTCAGTGTCTGGTCTTTCCTCATTCCAATTATCAGTACTATTATTGAAATAGGTATAGAAATTAATAAAATACATATATTTCTAGTATTCAAATATGAAATATGCATTTAGATGAGTTTGCTGCTTGCCATGAGTTTATAGAATAAAGATAAGATGAATTTTTGTTTTTCATCCTGAACAGCTTTCTTCTTTTTAAACCTCTAATTTACATTGTAAACATGAATTTCAGAATAACAGGAACTGATCTTTAAACAGAGTATTTCAAATGGCCTGGAATTTATAAAATAATATATTGCATCATAAAAGAATCTGGAATGTGTATAGGAAAACTAAAGAAAAAGTCACTATTCTAGATAAAAAGAAGTAGACATGGGATTAATGGAGGTGATTTCTGTGGGGACATGAATCCAAATATAAGTAATATCATACAGAAAGAAATATACTCATAAAATACTCATAAACAAAGATGGAAAAATACTCATAAACAAAGTGGCAAGTGAGAGAAATTATTTTGGGAGTGATAGTTGACATTATCTTTACAAGAAGAAATGTATAGGGATATAAGACTCGGCTCTGAAAGGAGCAAAGACCTCCTTAGGTCTTTGTTGAATTTTTTGAGGAAATTTCTAAGAGATGTTATTTGTGAGAAAGTAACAAAATATAATGAACTAATAATTTTTTTCTTACATGTGAATGGAAAGGATAGGTAGGCGATTAGAACTCCTGTTGAAATTAAACTCTACATTTCCAAGTCAAGATGACAGACAGACTGAATCCATAGGTTAATCTCTTCTCCTTCCTAAAACCCCAATAAAATGATATTCAACTAGTAAACAGACATAAATCTACATTGATGACAATAATGGGATAAATTTGTCAGAATATTCTAGCATGTTCACAGAAACAAAGCTAAAAAGGAGTCAATGAACTTGGCCAAAGTCCAAGGAAACTCATGAAACAGAAATACCTGAGGGTTCCAGTGCATTAGTTGCTTCCTCACCCATCATCCATGTGGTAGCTGCGGGGATTGTCACCCAAATTTCACCTATGTCATCTTCCAGGTAAACTTGTTCTTATTGGCAGAGCATGGCTGTCACAAGAAGCTACAATGCCAAGTACTTACTTATGAAGACTCTCTTACATCTTAGGCATGCGATTTGGCTCAATTCTGAACAAGTGGAGGTGGAGAGATATTAAGAGACTTCTAGGAAAGGTTTATCTCACTGTTGTAAAGTGTCTCTGAAGAAAACATTATTTTCCTTCATTGCATTTATTATATCTACCCAGAATACCTGGAATTGCCACAGTTATTTGTGATTAGGGAACCAGCTTAATGCTGAAGTGAATTTATCAAGGATGGCAAAGAAGAAGGACAAAAATGAGTCTGTGCCCTAAGTAGCATCACTAAACTCATAAATTAACCCTAGAACAACATACCTCTATGTTTATAGATGGTCCATACTGTGTAAGCCACTTTAAGTGAATGTTCTTTTACTTGCACCCAAAAGCTCCTGACATACAGCTTAAACTAAAGCTTGTTAATTGACAAGCTCCTTCTATTTCCACTGAGTTCTAGTCAATTTTTTATTTCCTAATTCTAAAATATAAACAAATGGCAGTAGACACCAGACTTTTCAGGAAAGCCTGTATCATAGGACTGAAAGAACATCACAAAAATTACCACAGAGGAAAGAGAGAGATGAATAGAAGATGCACTTAAAACAAAAATTTCTAACTAATATTCTCAGAAAAATTCAATGTGATATCAAACAAGGTCATGATAATGTGAATAATGTAAGATACTACTGAAATTAAAAACAATGGTAAAATTTTCAAAATAATAAAAATATTAAAATTCAAAGTCAAAGAAAGCTTCCAAAAGTAGAACTGCATACAAAAGAAAAACCGTTAAACAAAAGAGGAGTCAGAGAGAATCAATTCAGGAGTTCTAACGTTTGGTTAATAATATTTCTAGGGGAAGGAAAAAATGAAGAGAAATTTAATTTGAAAATATAAGCACATAAAGATAATTCCCTAGATCTCAAGAATTTGAAATTCCAGATGGAAATATCCACTAGGTGTCCAAAACACTGATAATAAAATTAGAAATCAATTAGAACCCAAAGGATAAAGAGCAGGTGCTAAAAAGGAAAAACTAGTTATCTACAAAGAATGAGATTAAGAATAGCAGCAGAATTCTCATAAAAAGTATTGAATGTCCAATATCAGACTAAGAATGACATTACAGATCTAGGGACATTTTTACCCTAGATTTTTTTGGGCTTAGAATACTGTAAACAGTAAAACTATCAATCAAATTTGAGAGTAGAATGAATATATTTTCAGATATGCTTGAACACAGAAAATTTATGTTACAGATATTGTTCTTGGAAAATTTATTTTTAAAAATGAAGGTATGGGGTTCAGGAAACAAGGAGAACAATAAGATGAAGTCTCATGATAATTTCTCTAGAGAATTAAGAGTCTATATTGTAGGACTGGGTTTTCTGAAAGAGACAGAAAAAAAACAGTTCTTAACACATAATGTAATATTAAACAGATAGGGATGGGGGGAATCGACTATTATGCAGGCAAAAAGTTGAAAGAAAAAGAATGTCCATGAAAAACTCCAAGACATATCTATATATCTATATCTCCATATATAGATACAATTGCAGTCATTTGATACTATTTGTTACTGAAGTGAGAGAGGTTTCATTATCATAATAACGTAAACATGACTTACTTATTTTCAAAGTTTAGGATCAACCTGTAGATAAGTTTATAGAGAAGGTAAAGAAGACCTAGCTACAATTTCTGAAGAGAAAGTATGTGTTCTTAACCTTGACTGTATAGAAGAAAAAATTCAAATTTCAGAATTAGAAAGGTGGGTGTGAAAAACACTGAAGCAAACGCTAGAAGCCCTAACACCAATTTTCAAAGTGGAAGATGAGATATTTTCTAGTGTGACATAATAAGGAATTAAATATATTACTTAATGATACATAGATTATCAATAGATACCTTAGAAAGATGAAATACTATGTTAGCAGGGTCTGGAGAGAAAAGCATGGGTAGACAAGAGTTGTATTTATATCTATTACAGTAATAAGTTATGCCTTCAATTGATATACATAGAAAGAGAAGTATAGGAGTATTATATAGAGATATAATAACATAAAATGAGTATTGGTTTGTTTAATGAGGTACAGTCACTACCCCCTAGAAATTGCTCTAGATTGATACTGAAGACACAAAACAAATAAACATAATACATAATATTATGTAGCCCTTATTTGGATTTTGATTCAGAGTTTTGGGGAAAAATTCATTTTGAGATAAGTAGAAAAATGTGAAGATGGGCTGGATATTAGATGAAATCAAGAAATGCATTTTGTTAGATAAGAAAAAGGCATCATATTACATAAGAAAATGTTCATACCTTTAAAGAAATTCATGGTTAATTTTTTATACATGTTGACGTATAAATTGATGAAAAAAATTACATCTCGACTTTGTTTTTAAATAGTCCAACTGAAACAGAGAGAAAAAGAAGAGGAATAGATAAGCAGCATGGTAAATTCTTGGTATTTGTCAAATTTGGACGATGGAATATGAGGTTTACACAAATATTTTTTGAGCCCACTTGTCCCTAGGGAACAGGACTAGAGAAAGATAGGCAAGAGATTTTCCTTGTCATTATAGAACTTTCTACATATTTTTTGTTTTTTCTTAATCACGCTTATATATTTCTATGAGGAAAGGAAATTTAAAATGACTATATTTTTTCCACACAACCACTAATGAACTGCAAAGTTGGATTAATAAGACCTTCAATGAAGAAAACTGTGTGTGTGTGTGTTTGTGTGTGTGTGTGTGTGCACATCAAATGAATGTTTAAGAATATAAACTCAACAGAAGTTGGCACAGTAAATGAATGCAATGTGGCAAAGCAGGCAAGAACTAACAAAGCAGATGACATTTTATTTGAGTCATAACGTAATCATTGTTGATGCACTTATTGACTAAACTAGATTAAAAATTTGGCAATTGAATATGTTATTGTATTTAACCCTTCTAAAAATATTCATTTTACAGGTGAGAAAACTGAGTTTGATCAGTTGATTAGCTTGTCTGAGTGCATGTATCTCTAACTGGCAAAACTGGAAGTTAAACCTAGGTCTGCCTGTTTCTAAACTATAAGCTTTTCCACTGATAAAAAATAACCAAGATCAGATAGAAAGGAAAGGAGAACTGCATTCCATGAGGCAGAAAGGCATGGAAACAGATACAGAGGAAAAAACACTGTTAGTCTTTGGTGGGGAGAAGGATAGGGTGGGAAGCGAGAATGTCAGCAGACCAAAGTGGAGAGTTCAAGTTAGAGACGAAAAAGGAATCTGTCAAATCAGTAAGAAGAATCCATAGTGTGCAAGCAACAGCAATATATAACTATTGAAATTTTAGAGAGAAAAATGGTTTTACTTCTTTACTCATTCTTTACTCATTCTGAAGTGAAACTTTGAGACAGATGGAAAATAATATGTAACAAAGCAAGTGTTCGATCACAAAGGGGGCATCCATTGCAGAAAGATCTATTGATTAAAATAAATGATGTGGCAGAAAGCTACACATTTCAAAAAAAGCCAGTGGTTAAAAAGCAGAGACAGTAAGTTCCCAGGCTGAGACTGAGGTTTTCTCAGAGTTACTGAGAGCAACAGAAGGGCCCTCTGTGTTCTTTAAACTCCATATGTAGACATCATTGTAGCGACACTCACACTATCTCTGACACCAAATTACAGCCATGACACAGAGAGTAAATACATAAAATAAGAGTATCTCAAAACCAGTGAATGGGAACAGTCTTGCCAAAAAATAATCACGACAGATAATCTAAAATATCCTTGTAGCCTATCTTTATAATTGAGTTTATAATAACTATAAACTCATGCCTCTGAAAATAAAATGTTTTAAAAAGGACAACTGTCTTAAAAAATATAACTTTATATCAAGTTCATTGATTTATATAACTTTATTACCAAGTTCATTGATTTACTCAAGCCATTTTTAATTTAGATTATATATTCAAGGTTCATAACATTCCTAATTTAAAAATTAAGAAAATTAATTATAAAGCTCACAATAGTACGTTAGTTCAACAACTAGTTCTCATTTTAGTTATCAATAACTGGGATTCTCTAAATTCATCTATTTCTTCAACAGACATTTATTGCACATCTACTATATTCCAGGTACTGAGCTCTACAGATAAGTAAGGCACAGTCATTACTCTCAAGGAACTCATAGTCTCACGGGGAAAATCAAAACGTGAATATATTTTAAAGTGACAAGTGCTGCAATAGAAGTATTTCCAGCATGATACTTAAATAGAGACAATGACAGGACTAGCTTTAATAAGGGAATAGGGAAAGGCTTTGCAAAAGAAATCTAACATTTGAAATTCCATTTCTTAGAGGAACTAGATGATGATGTGGATGACACCAGGGAGAAAGGTATTCCAGCATTAAGGAGCAGCACTTAGAAGAACATAGAGAAATAAACGTTTTAAAATGACTCAAATATAGGGAAACTTTCAAAACTTTATATGGCTGGAAAGTAGGGTCCATTTCGAAGATGACACTGAAGTCAATAGTCCATTTATATAATAATAACATCTTCCTGGTGTATAGAGCAGAGTTTTTAAAGTATAAAAGCAGACTTTTTAAGCTATGTAACAGTGCTCAACTTTTCATTCGTCTTTGTGAACCCTCCATAGTAGGTTAATGGAAAAATAACTTTTGGAGATAGATGCACTACATGAATGTGGGCCCTTACTACCATGATAATAATATTTACCTTGCAGGGTTGTCAGGAAGATCGAAGGAAAAGCTATATGTATCACTAGTAGGAAAGAGTGTGAGCTTATTCTATTGCTCAACAAATAATATGTTGAGTATCTAGTATGTGTGATGTTGTTGAGGGATGCCGTGAAGAATATAACACAGCCAAGGTGTTGATTTTATGGAACCTACATTCTAGTCATGTGCGTGATTAGGAAAGGTCTCTCATATGAAGTCACATCTTTAGCTGTGATATAAATGACGGGGCACTGGATAAGTGGAGGTCAGAAAAAAGAAGTGCAAATGAAGGGCCCTAGGATCAAATGAACTTGCCGAGTTTGAGAACAGAAAGAAAACCAATGTGACCAGCAGTAGGACAGAGTAGCTGGTGAGCAAATGAGAAAAAGGCATAAGAGATCCAAGAGGTATGGGCACAAACAGACTTTGAAAATCAGAATAATGTGTTTGATTTATATCCCAAATCGGGATATAAGCAGGAAAATGACATAATTTCATGTATAAATGAAGGAGATAACGTTAGTTCTATTAATGGTACTTTGTAGCTTTGACACACATTGCCACTAACATTATCTAGCACTGTTTTGTGTGGTAGAACCAGTAGTCATTTCTATTTGTAAGATAATTTACTGAAAACAACCAATTACAAATCTTATTTTTTTAAACTAGTGTGATCTAATTATTCTCCTGTGAAAGACAGCAATGGCCAGTCTTCAAAAGAGAAATCACTTTTGGACCAATGGTTAAATCAGAAAAAATGTCACGGGATCTCAAATATAATTATTTTTGCAGATTGAGAAATATGCTTAGTTTTAGTCTTTTGGGTTTTGTCTTTTTCTAATATGCACCTCACAATAGAATCAATTGGGTGATTTCCATTTTGTTTAATGATGCCCCAAGGATCTAAACATTTGATTCTTTTTCCAAAAGAATAAGCAATTATAAGAAACATTTTCAATTAATTTATTCAAATTCAAACTGGCACTATTTGTGAGAAAATTTGGCAATATTTGGGAGATAATTCTAAATGAATTAATTTGAGGTAATTTGAGGTAATGACAAAGTACCTGACCATAATTTGATTTACCAAATATTTTAACTTTAGCAATTACTAAAAATGAAAATACACTCTTATGAAGAGTTTTTTTGAAATTCTCTTCTCAACTTTTCCTATTAGCATTCAAATACAAAATTCATTTTATGAGAGTCAAATTATTATATAAAGCAAGTATTTGCCTCAATACTTTTTTCAGTACTGTGTACCAAACATCCTTTTCAATATTTAGGGGTACTAACTTAAGACAATTACCTTATGAGAAATATACTTTTATTCCCATTTTACGTAAAGAAACTGAGCCCCTGAAAGTTTAAGTTACTTGTCCTAATTATATAGATACAAAGTGACAGCAAAAATTTTGACTCAGTCAGTCTGCTTTCTATCCCAGGTTTCTCACCATTAGCGTATCCCGGAGGTTGCACTGGCCTTCGAGAATGAGAGCAGTGCAGGACCAGAGAGGATACTGCAGGAAGCCAGGGCATTTTATGAGGCACTAGGAGCTGAAAGTACAAGGAGCCCAGAAAATAGGAAGCACAGGTGTAAAGTGATTTCCCTGCATTTAACATCTAAACAAAGCTATTAATTAATTCCTGTTTTTAATACAGCCAAAATAAAAGGCACAAAGGACTGCTAGTTTCTCAATTATCACTGGAATTAAAAAACTTTCTCTTTGGGCGTAATTTATGCCAAAATGACCCCAGGAGCATTCAGATAAAATTAGGGAGATATTATTATATCACATCTATTTGTGAGACACTTCCTTCAATGAATTTAATGCTCATAAAACATTTCACAGAAAGAAATACCAAGCTTGGTCTCCATTCCATTAATCAAGAAACATTTATACTTGCTTGCTTGCTTGCATGTACGTGATGGATGATTGTTGTTGCCCAAGAAGGATACTATTCATACCTTTCAGCTGGACAGGGAATAACTAGTGATCAGTCAAATGAAATTCAGGTATTCATCAAAACCATGTGCCTTTACATCTTATTTTGAATTTGTATTCTTTTAATGTTTTTCTGTATAGAGGTAAAGTGATAGCTATTAATAGGTAAGGCTGTGTACTGAAATAACTTTAAACCATGGCCTCTGAACCATTGCTTCTCTTTCTCAAAGAAAACAATTTTAAAAACCATTTTAGTTAAATATAAAATTAAGATAATTTATAAATTTCTATTGATTGTACCATATTATTCACTAATCCTTTCATTCAAACAATATATTTTGAATACTATTATATAACAGGTACTATGCTTACAATAAAACATATTTCCATAAATGCTTATGTCCTTTTTAAACTATTCCATGGAGAGGTAAGGAAAAGACAAGTAAATTACATTTTATCAAAGATGCTATCTTGTAGATATGAAAATGAGTTTATTCCTTCATGGTTTCTGGATTGCCTGGCTTTAAGCAAGATATTCTGGAAAACCTAATCTCTCTTAAAAACTATGAAATAATGCATCTATTCAACTGAAGTAGTGTTTGCATAAAGTAAACTCTTAGTAAATGATTATTATATTTATTGCTTTAATATAATTGAATAATTAAATTACTAAATATAATTCCTTAATATTTGGTGATGTGTTGTTTTAATCTTTTTTGAAGTATTTATAAAAGAATAGCTAAATACACGTTGTGGTTAACTTAAGTAAATCATACATACTGGCTTTCTTTCTTTTTTTCAACTTTTTAACCTGATCATTGTTGTGCCTTGCATGAAACATTATTTAATTCTCTCCTTTGTTTGCTTTTGCTTCTGAGCATCTCCTTTGCCATTTTTTTAATGCTTGTTTTGGTCACGTTTAAATTATGAAGTTCTTAAGTATCTTCCTAAATTAACTACCTTTTATCTCTGTGGGGTTTTGCAGCACACGGTCTGTGCATACTCTCAAGATCACTCAGTATCTTCATTTGTTCTTGTGGAAGTGTGAATGGGAGGCATGAAGTGGTTCCTACAATGGATTTCCTAATTATATGTTTAAATCTGTTCAAAATCACAACATAACTACACATATTCAGAGCCAGTTAAAATACACATTCTGTGGACAAGATAATTCAACTCAGAAAAATTTTTAATTAAGAAAAACAATTATGTACCCTGTGTTGGATTTTGTATGCACCTAGCAAGGAAAAAAATATAGCAAATTACCATTTACGAAGATACCCTATATTTAATCTCCTCTGGATTTAATGTTTATTAGAGGTTATTATATAACTTACTATGGTGATAAACACAGTAAGAGATGATAACTAAAAAAGTTACTGGATGCCTAGAAATTAAAAGGCCCAAAGGGAGATGAAGATATCAAAGACGGGCCTAATCCATTTCATTTGAGAAAATGGTTTTGAAAAATAGCTCAAAAAGAAATGAACTCGTTTCTTTTCAGTGTTTTTAGTTATACAAGTTATTCTTATAAAATTTCAAAATATTAAAAGAAAACTAATATCTCCTTTGAGCTCTCTTCCATCCTAGTTATCTCTATGCCTCCCCATTATTTGTTTTACTTTTCAAATACAAGAGGATTCATAAACAACCTGAGTACAACTATAACGCTCAGAAAAATTTACATTGATCAGCAATTTGTGTCCCTCTCATTTATCTATTCTTTTTATTCACCTTTATTGAGGTATAGTTGATAAATAAAAATTGTATGTATTTAAAGTACACAGCTGAATGTTTTGATATATGTGTACATTGTGAAATGATCATGGCAATTAAGCTAATTAACATATCTTTTATTTCTCATAGTTGTCATTTTCTTTCTTTTTAATTTTGTGGTGAGAACTTTTGAAATCTACCCTTTTAGAAAACTTCAAATATATAAAACATGTGTGTTATATATGTATTATATATAGTCACTATGCTGTACATAAATCTCCAGAACTTTTGAATCATGTATAACAAGAATCTTGTGCCCTTTGACTAACATCTTCCCATTTTCCCCTCCCCTAGCCCATGGCAACCAGCATTCTACTCTCTGTTTCTATGAATTTGACTATTTTAGCTTTGACATATAAGTGAGATCATGCAGTATTTGTCTTTCTGTTTCTGGCTTATTGCATTCCAAGTTCATCCATATTGTTGGAAATTGCAGGATGTCCCTTTTTATGACTGAATAATACTCCATTGCATATACACACACACACACACACACATATAATATATATATATATATATATATATACTATATTATATATTCGACATTTTCTAAGAGGGTAGATCTTAATACATATATCTATACATAGACATAATAGAATATTATTCACTATATGAATAGTTTTAAGAATTATTATATATTGTATATATATAAAATATTTTAAAAACTATTCATCCATTGATGGACATTTGGATTGTTTTCATGTCTTGGATATTGTGAATAATACTACAATAAACATGGAAGTGCAGATATCTCTGCAAGGTACTAATTTCATTTCCTTCAGGTATACACCCAACAGAGGGGCTGCTGGCTCATAGGGTAGTTCTATTTTTAAATTTTTGAGGAATTGCTGTGCCATTTTTCATAATGACTCTACCAGTTTATATTCCCACCCACCCATCAGTATACAAAGGTTCCCTTTTCTCTACATCCTTGACAACACTTATTATCTTTTGTCTTTTTTTTTTTTTTTGAGATAGAGTGTCGCTCTGTTGCCCAGGCTGGCGTGCAGTGGGCTTGCAAATAGTTTCTCCCTCCCATCATTTGCCTTTTCACTCTACTGATTTCTTTGCTGTGCTGAAGTCTTTTATTTAGTTTGATACAATCTCATCATTTTATCTTTTTTTGGCTACCCATTTAGTTTAAAAGGTATTTAGACATTAATTCCAAATTGACTGCTTTAATATTGACGACTTTCCTGAGCTCCATGTATCTGTCTCTAACCTTCTGCTGGACATTGCCACCTAGATATCCCAGACATCACAATGTTCAAAAACCCCTCACCCCTCTGCCATTTGCGGCTTTCTTAGAGTGCATACCTTTCAGCAGTGTGTGCAGAAAAGTTGAAGTCATTTTTATAGTATCTCCCACAGTTGCTACCTTTAATCGGTCACCAAATCCTGCTTGTTTCTACCACGACTGTCTCAATTTCTCTCATAATCTGTCCCTTCTTTTCTGCTCTTACAACTTCTGTCCTAATTTAGACCGCAATTTTTTTCCTGGACAATTACAATAACCTTCTGTGTACCAGCTTTACACCAGTCTCTCTCAACTTTAATCTCTCCACACCACAGTTAAAATATTTTTCTAATGTATATGTAAATGTGTATATATAGAAATAGTCATATACTATGTCATATACACACAATGTTATATTCATATATCATGTCATATATATATTATATCTTTTTGTTTAAAATAAAACAATACTATAATTTCCAAATTCACCCATTTAGGATACACGATCACATCTCCATGCTAATCTTCCTGATTTGGAGTATTTCAACCACATTTTTAAACTAACAAATAAAAGATCAGGTTCTCTTTTCAAAATCCACCTCATTTTTACGCACAGATAATCTGTGTTCTCACAGATCTGTTGTAATCCTCTATCACACTTTGTGGTTTACCTGTTTGTGTCCCCAACTCAGATCTGGACTTCAGAGACTTTACACATATGTATAAATTCTCCTCTATATCTCAGGTATGCAGTAGCCTGCCAGCTCATATTAGGTAGGTACTATTTTGTGAATAAATAAACACTGTGTGTCAAGGTATTCCATATGTCACATAATTCTCTATTGTCAGTTTTAGTCATTTTTAACGAATTCCCTTAAGCTAAACCAAAGAGGTAAATTTTGCAAAGTTGTTTCTGCAGGCTGCTGATCCCGGATGGATACATCTGTAAAATAGACATATTTTAAAACAGACATCTAGGCTTCTATACCCAGTGAGAAAATTATACAGAAACACCATGTGGGCTCAGAAAACAAAGGATGTGCATTTAAAATGTAGGCTGTCAAACCATCGCCTATTCTTCCCTTTAGACTAGATGGCTGTAGTAAATGTAAGGTATAACACAAATAAAAAAATAAATTTTATTTTCCAGAATAAAAGAGTAATGAGAATATACCATTTGTTGAGGAAATTTCCTTCTAGATTCTGGGAAAGTAATCAAAAATCTTAAGATGTATTGTGCCTGTGTATTCAAGGAGAGCATATACAGTACATAAAATCTTCTGCTGTTTCCTTCTTATGTTGGTTTATTTTAAGGTAGCTTAATTTCCATGGATACTTTACTGTAACACTTTAAAATGTCATACATTTGTAGAACACTTTAAAGTCCAAAAGGTCTATTTTCTAATTTTGTTTCATTTTAATAAAACAGAGGCCCTGGGAAAGAAGCCTATGCATTGTCATACCTGTTTTCCAGATAAATGCAGAAGTGTTTGTCTAATACCACAGCTAAGAAGTGGTAGATGATCTAGATCTATTTTAAGACCAGTTCTACTTTATCAAACTATTTTACCTTCTCAGCAGTTACAAGTGCATGCAACAAACATAATTTTGGTGATAAAATCTTCAATTCTAAATACCTGGGTATATTGCATGCATAAGTGTATTTATTGTAAATTTCTCACATCCTTAGCTATAGTTTGAAAAGCTGAACTGGTAGTAACTAGGGTATCATGTCAGCTAACAGTCATATCAGTATTTGGGTTGTAAATAAAGAAACATAGGTGGGATCAAAGCCAATGCCTTCTGTATTAGCTTACTGTGGCTGCCATAACAAATTACCACAAATGTAGTGCTTAAAACAGCATCAATTTATTATCTTAAAATTCCAGAAGTCTGGAAGGGGTCTTACTGGGCTAAAATCAATAGATCAGTAAGGCTACATCCCTTTCTTGTGGTGGTAGGAGTCTGTTTCCTTGCTTCTTCCATCCTCTAGAGGCTACCTCATTGCTTGGCTTGTGGCCCACTTCCTCCATCTTCAAAGATGACAACATTGCATCTCTCTCTGCCCTTTTTCCACACTGAGTCACATCTTCCCCTTTTACCACAGCTGGTTGCTTTTATGGATTCTTGTGATTACATCAGACCCACCTGGGTAATACCAGATAATTTTCCATATCTCAAGGTCTTTAACCTTAATCATATATGCAAAGTTTCTTTTGCTGTGTAAGGTAACATATTCACAGGTACCAGGTGTTAGAAAAGGGACTTCTTTGTGGGACCATTCTACCTACCATGGCTTCTTATTAAAATAGATGAAGAAATAGCTTGAGGAAAAAGGAAGAGTTCAAAGCACTGTATAGAAGAGGTGGTCAACAGAGGTTTCATTTTTGACTTTGATAATAGATCAAATGAGTTTCAAAATAAGAATAACTTTGGGGCTGGGTGTGGTGGCTCACACCTGTAATCCCAGCAATTTGGGAGACCAAGGAGGGTGAATCACCTAGGGTCAGGAGTTCGAGACTAGCCTGGCCAACATGGTGAAATCCCGTCTCTACTAAAAATACAAAAAATTAGCTGGGTGTGGTGGTAGGCACCTGTAATCCCAGCTACTTGGGAGGCTGAGGCAGGAGAATCGCTTGAATCCAGGAGGTGGAGGTTGCGGTGAGCTGAGATCACACCACTGCACTCCAGCCTGGGTGACAGAGTGAGACTCTGTCTCAAAAAAAAAAAAAAAAAAAAAAAAGAATAACTTTGGAATTAATTTTATAGTCAATATATTATGGGAAGAAAAATTTTACAAGATAATCATTTACTCTTAAGGAAATGACTATTAATATTAGTAACGTTCTATTCCATTCTTACAGTTGATATTTAGGCTGTCTGTTAAAAATGTACATTCCCAGACTCCACTCACCCCATGTGCTGACTTAGGAAGCTTTTGATAGGGCTTATAAGTCTGTTTTTTAACAACCACAATCAGGGGATTCTGAGTGCTGTTTCCGTTTGCTTTCACATTTCAGGGAATTCTGCTGTGGTGATTATTTCTGCAGTGCTGGCACTAGAACAGCTTAATCACTCTCACTGGTATTTGAACCTCTAACTGTGGAGAACATTTATCATTAAAAACTGACATTTTGTATGACATGGCACAAAATAGAATTTTAATTGAGGGTAAATAACATGGTGAAAGGTTATAAAAATAAATTTTAAAAATCAGTTACTGCAATTCTTGTGCCATTTCAGGATTGCATTCAATTAAAATGAGTTGAATAATCACAAGTTTCATTTTTTATTCAAAAGACAGTCATTGATTGCCCACTGTACACATAAAACTGGGCCAAGTGCTATGGGAAGATCAAACAAGTATTCTCTGTAGTCACACCTTTAGAAAGCATATTCAATCATATCCATTCTGCTTCAAAGCTAAGGCAAGAACACTTTATTTATGTTAATGAGAAAATGAAGTTAATATAACTCTCAAGTTACTGAGAAAAATTAGTTTCAATGTTACTGTATTCAGTTTACTATAAATATACCACAAGTAGAAGGACACTTTCTAATGATAATGTTAAAAATCTGTCTATGAAACTTTCCCAGACAAGTCCAGTGGTCCCAGCAGAAACAGTTTAACTTTTGAATGTAAAACTTAGAACAATTTTCCAATGTAGAGCTCAGTATTAATCCGTATTTCCAACAATGATGACTTCTTCAAAGCCAAGTTGTTTATAATTGTGTCTTGCTGCATTGGCACCTTTCATTTTCACCCAGAGACCCAGCCATACACACAATTTACCTGCAAGTACTGTAAGAAATAATATGTGTGTGTGTTAACCTGAGGATTCAGTATTTTAAAAACAGAATTACTTTTCCAAACTTTATGACTTTTACCAATCTAAAATTACAGTTATATTATTTCAGTTATATTATTTATTAAATGCAGGTATTCATTTAAAATTTTATTTTTAAAATTTTATTTTTAGAATATGACACATATTTCCTGATAGCCAAATTGAACTTTCGGAATTGAAAATTAGATGGGATAGCTCAATTAACTTCCCTGATTAAACCATTATAACCTATTCCCTATGCTCTTAGAGTAAACTCTAAACTCCAGATGTGGCTGAAAAAGTCTATACCATCTGGTTCCTATTCACCTCTCCAGTCTCACTGCATGCTACTTACCTCCACCCACCCAAGTTCTCATTCATGTTCTCATATCTGAATGCAAATTATCATCTTACCTACCTCAGTGCATTGTACTGCCTACATTGTCCCCACATCCTAAGTTTGTGGAAGGTAGAGCCCAAGAAGAAATTAACTAACAGAAGCGCTGTCCTCGGTGCTGAAACCATGGATTTGACTAAGTGCCTGACTTGGCTAGCTCACAAAACAATGAATAAATAAAGAAATGTAACATAAACAGTCATGTAGTAAGTGCTTAAATAGGGGGATGAGCAAAGTGCTATAAATATGTGAAAAAGAATATAGAGATCCAGATCAGTTATCCGAACTTCTAATTTAGATTGGCAAAATATAAAACTAGATTGAGCTTCTTTTAAATTGATATCAGGAAGGCAGATTTTTCTCTCTCTCAATTAAAAACAAACAGTTTAACTCTTTACTCCTCCTTTCTGTAGAACATGGAAATATCTTGTATCCACTCGCTAGCAATTTTATGAATTATGACAAGGTGGCAGATCATAATTTACTGCTCTCATTTTTTCCCACATTCATCTCACATGAAAGAGCTTTATTATATTTATTTTGAAGTTTCTCACATTTCTTAAAAATAAAATTTGGGCATTGAATTAACGTTTGTTTAATAAATTAAAAATAAATAAATATTTAAAACACAAAATGTATAAAATATCTATTATACTTAGAAATTTTATCATTGATAAGACTATTTCTAAAAATTAGCCATATCAATTTATAAGATCAATGGAATATAGATTCAAAGTCAAGGAGAATCATATTTTTAAATGCAAATGAATTTTAATGTGTTCCTGGGTATTTTTAATGTACTGAGATTCAAAGAAAAGAGTTCTTAACAATTATCTGCATATGTAATCAACTTGAAGTTACATTTTGCATATCAAGTAGAACTTGTTATTTGCCTGCAACATTTATAAAGCATGGAGAATGTGTAAATATATGTGGAACTGGATAGTGAGCACTTTTAATATGTATTTCTTCTATTTAATAGTGAAACATTCTACCGATTTATTACAATCATGTTTATGAAATATGCATATATCTCATTTTGGTAGCCTGGTGTTTTAACATTTTACCATGCAAGTAAATCAATTTCACAATGAATTTTAGCAATGGTTGATTAAATAACAATTTTGCTAAGTTGATGATTTGTGTGAGAGAGTTGCAGGGGAGGGGTGATTTTTAAATTTACTCAAATAGTCAAGTTTAGACTGCTGTAACTTAGCTACTAGATGATCTAGAAACATATCCGCCTCAGGATGATTTTTGTATTGGCTTAGTTGGAAGAAAAGCGATGGAGCAGACGGCCTATGAATATAGTAGTAACACTGTGGCCAAATATAGGCTATAGTATAATGCAGTCACTGAAAAAAAATTATTAATTACTATGTAGTTGGACTACATGACTTCCATTTACCCGAAAATTTGGAACTGTCTGAATAAGCAGTAAATCTAACTATTCTAGCAATTTCATTAATATATGGGTGCTACTATACACATTGTATTATTATAGTTATTACTACTGGGAATTAAAAGTTTGGATCCAGAGGAAAACCTACTTCCCAAGGTTTAAAAGAGGAGCATTGCAAGAAGAAAATGGAATCTTACTTTACTATTACTCTCTGATAATATAAAACAAACATTTTATTCCATGAAAAATAAAACAAATGCAGATTCAAGCAAGAAGTTCAGTTGTCAAATCAAAACCTTAGTAGTGATAGCCCATCATCTTACAGATGAAAATATTAACCCTCTCTTCTTAATCCTCAGAGACTTGTGAAGAATTGAAGCTATAAGTGCCTATGTAACAAGGGAAATCCCTGCATGGAGAACATTTTTTAAGTACTAAGAGAGCTCCTTGGGGAAAAAGTTCTTATAGTAGCTGACAGGCAGAGGGTTCATCTTCTTTTCAAAATTTTCATTATAGCTGAGACTCAGAAAAGGTAGTCAATTAAGGGCACATGCTTTGAGCTGATTTCTACTTTTAAGTAATTAGGTATGACTTGATGGTGAGGTAGAGCAAATTCTCATGGGAAACTGCTTCCCCCTCGTGCTGGTACTATCTTCGTAAAAGACTAACATTTATTTATAGGAAAAAATAGAAAATTTGGGGTGATTTTTGTGATCCAGTTAATTTGGAACTGAAATCTTCTGCACATTTTGAATTTCATCAAAATTTATTTACTGGAGACATCTGTTTATTGACATGGTAAACAAAGAATAGTTCCCAACATTTAGGATTCTAAGCATAGTTTCTTTGCCAGTAAATTTAATAAGCTAATTTCCAGCATTAGCGTTCCTCTCTTGCTTAAATTTTAATAGAAACCTTTAAGGTAGCATAATTTGACACTCCAAAATTTTTATCTCAGGTGTCATATTGCTCCCCAGTTGGAATTCAATGTAGTGTCTTTGACCTATTTTCTTAAGAACAAGATCTACAGAAATCATGAAACATTGGAGGCATTATCCAGTTACTCTCAGTGTTTCCTATAATCTTGAAATCAGAAAACCATGTCTCTGTAATGGTTGATTGCCTGTGGTTAGTTGGTAGGCATGGCTTACCAAGTGCTTTTATTACTTCAGAATCCAAATACACTTTTTAAAATTTGGGGATCATATATTTTGACAAATATGGGAATCTCTTAAATTACATATTTTGATATTTATACTACTTCAGTTATTCAGTTTAAAAGTGAAAAATGTAGACACATTCCAGATGTCTTGAGTTCTTTCATTTGTTCCTAGTCTGGCGTTAGTAATTCCAAGGATATAATTAGCTACTTGCGAAACATTACAATGTTTTCAATCCTTTCATGTTAGCCTTCTCACATTTATAAACATATTAATTTATTCAACAAGTATTTAATGAACACCTATGAATCTTGTAAAATATGTTAGGAACAGGGATATGCTAATAAATAAAATAGAGAATGTTATTTTTTAATTGTAGTGTGTAATAAAGTATCTTTAATATTGGAAAAACTAAGGAGTAGATTAGTGCTTACACTGCTGATGGATATATAAATTACTATAGAAAATTTATAAAGAGATTTGGTAACAAATATTGTAATTGAATAGGTATGAATATTTTCCAGGAACCAGCAGCAGTTGGTATCTACTCTAGAAAAATACTTGCCCAAGTACACAGGAGGCAGTTTCAGGATTTTACTGCAGAATTGCTTGTATTAGAGAAAACAGAGGAACAAACCAAATGCCCTTCCTTCAATAATGACTAAAAAAACTATTTTGAACTCATACATTCTAGTACTCTGCAACATTTGAAGGACTAGGAAAAAAGTTTATTTTGATTTGGAAAACATATTTGATATCTTATATGTTAAAAATTATAAAAAAAAGAATCACTATATCTATAAGGTATGTGTTTGTATGTGTGCAAATCCATCAGAAGAAGTCAGGAAATGTATATATAAATTGATAACAGTAACTTGTAAAAAGAACCGGATATGTTGGTGGCGACAGAAGTGAACTCTAGCATTCTCTCTCATGTGATAGTGTAATATTTGTATAATTTAAAATCAATAGTGAAAACAAAGTTCAATAGAATGAATTCAATTATGGAAGCATGCACAGGTTAACCATGAGTGAAGAAAAGGAAGTGACTTACTTTGGGTAGCTCTAGAAAGGGAAATAGTTCTTGTTACTGAATTCAACAATATTTATTGAGTCCGTACATAATCCTGTCTGTGTTACCTTCAAAAGTGTGTGTTACCAATTTATATCTTAGCAGAAGTTTTCATGGAGATATTATAGAGGATTTGTGCAATAGACTGCATAAGTCACATGTTTTTAAAAAGAAAAACATGCATTCCATTTGCATAATTCAATTACACTGACTACAGTATTTGTAAAGTACAAAAGTAGCCCTATATAATATTTTCAAATAAATAAATATGAGTGAAAGAATTAAGATAAAGTTATAACTTTCACTGTTTTCAAAAGAGTGACAACCAAGTGATCCATTTTTTAAAATTTTTATTTATCTTTAGGAATGTTGCAAAGTTAATAATTAAGCTGTAAACACTTAAAGACAAAGTACGTTTGCACAATCTCTCTGACTCTGTTTTGCCCTCTGGTCAATTAAAGAGAAGGTCAGAGTGATAATCACAGTCAAGAAATGCACTATTGATACTTGTAAAATTAACTGAGCAAATGGTTAATGGGGCAAAAATAATTGAGATAGCATTATAATTTTCCTGAACTAGGAAACATTCCTGATGATCTGTATGATCAGCTAATAAAATATCAGCAAATTAAGATGTAAAAAATGGGAAATAAGCAATGCATTAGAACTAGGAATTTTTTTCAGAAGGAATCTATAAATTCAAACAAAGAAGTAGTTTATTCATCTATCTCCTACCAAAAAAGAAAAGCCAAACTTAAATCAGAATCTGAGAAATTGCTAGATATTGCAACTATACTTTTTCATGTAATTTAGCCCACCACCTCTCAAACTCCTCATCTTTCATACCTAGAATTTCCTTTGAACTTAAAATTAGCACAGCCATGCAGAAATTTCAGTCTACACAGAAGATAATAGTTGAATTGGGATCTAAATGAGGATAAGCAACTAGCCATGCCAAGATCTTAGAAAAAGGGAATTCTAGATTCAGGAAATAGCAATCACAGAAGGCTAGTATGGTTAATGTGCATGAACAAAGTTGATATTTTCAAATGATCAGGTCACAGAGACTCTGTAGATTATGACGAACTTGGACATGTTGCATTGTGAAGCATATTTGTTTGTCTGTGTTTCCCATAAGCCTGTCTATAAGTTCCATGAGGGCAGAAACCATGTCCATCTTATCTCCCCATATATCACTAAGGCTTCACATAGTTCCTTGCATGAAGTAGACACTCGATAAATATTTGTCAGATAAAACAATAATCAACCTATTTTTATTTAATTTGGTGATCCCAACTATAAGGTTTTTTCAAGTATGCACTTTTAAAAAGATTGTACTATATGTATTTCATATCTGAGAGCAAGTTATATTTAAGCCAAGATTTGGGTCACTAATAATAAGAAAGTCCTCTATGAGTGTATGCAAAGTTGACGTGGGGGCCCAATTATGCCCCTACTTTAAGATAAATCTATTTCAGCATTGATTACAATGTTTTCCTTCTCACTTAGAACTATAATGCTCCTTACCCATTATCTTCACTGTTAGTAAGCAAGTATTTCAGAAGATTAAAGAGGGAGTAATAGCTGAAAATTGTTCTCACTTGTTTTATTCACTTTAATTCTGTTTTTAATTGGGGAAGCTAATGCTTTTCTATTTCAATTTTCTATTCATAAGTGTTACCTCATGAATGAAATACATTTTTTGACACTTCATGTAGGCAGCACTGAGTTTGTATTCTACACTTATTTAAGCAATCCTCATTACCTGTTGCTCCATGAATAGGTTCTATGTCTAACCTTCAAAATTTATCTCTAAATTTTAGTTTTCAAAATTAATTTCTGAGTGTTTTTCCAAAAAAGCTTCTCATTGAAATTGCCATTCAGTTGATGTTAGTGAAGCACATCAAGAAATTATGAGTAGATGAAACTCTGAATAAGTTATTCCAGGATAATTTTCTCAAATACCATTAAGGTAAAAGTATATTATTTGCAGAAATAAATAAAATAAAGCTAATGTTTAACTCTGGAGTGAAATATCTGAGGTTTTTCAGGATGAAGTGGTCATAAGTAAGGGGAGGATTATAGTTAATTTTCCCCCTGGAAAAGGTTCCAAAACTGAATCAGAATGCCCTAAAAAACATGTAAAAATTTTGTTTTGGAGATTCCACTAAGAATATCCTGAGTTAGTAGACGTATTAGAGTTCTCTAGAGAAATAGAACCAATAGGATGTGTATATATAGAAAAAAAATCTGGCTCACAGTTATAGCGGAAAACAAGTCCACAATCTGCAGGGTGGGCTGGAGACCAAGGTAAAAACCGACGTGGAAGTTCAAGTCCAAAGGTAGTCTTCTAACAGAATCCCTTCTTGCTTGAGGATATCAGTCTTTATTTTATTAAGATCTTCAGCTGATTGGATGAGAACCAACCACGTTATGGAGGACAGTCCCCTTTACTCAGAATCCACCTTTTTAAATGTTAATCTCATCCACAAAACACCCTCAGAGAAATAGCCAGAATAATATTTGACCAAATATCTGGGCATCTTGGCCCAGTTAAGTTGACACATAAAATTCACTATCTGAGTCCACCACATGAAAACTTGGCATCCATATGCATTTCCTTAAACCATATTTAATCTCCAAATATACGCAATAACAAAGCCATACTTTGGCCTAACATAATACAATTATTCTGCGTACAATTGAGCAACCCTTATCCCAGAAGAGAATGTAAAGTCCCTGGGTGATATTTACTGTTCTTGATATACTGCAATGAAATACTATGATATAAAGTTAACAATACTTAAATATTGATATAAAGCAAATGCATCTTATGTTATATGACAAGAGAATAAGAACAGGAAAAAAAGATTATACATATAAATATATATACACACACACGAACATATTTATGACAAAATAAGGAAGAACTGCTCATGACATAATTGTAGTTCGTATTTATAACAACCTTCTTTCACTACACATTGTGCATTGCCTTTGAGCTCAGCAAGATCCTCAGCTGGCTGTAGTTTTCATCTGGTGTGGTGACTTAAACCTTTATTCCTGAAGGGTTTGGGCCATTAGAATCCTCCCTGGATTATGTTGTAGTCTCCCCCTGACTTTAAACACAGGTTATGGTAATACTAAGAGATGCCCTAAGGGAGCACCTGTATTTTAGACCCCCATTTGGAGTAGCAGTTAAATCTCTCCTTGGTAGTCAGGATCAATCACCCTAGCCAGCACAATAATTCCTTCCTTTGCCGGTTTACCTAGAAGCATGAGGATTCCAAACTGCCTAAGTGGTTAACATCTAGTTTAGTTGAATCATTGCTATGTCACCTGGTAGTTGCATCCCTCCTTTTGAAAGTAAGACCTCTATGCCAGCAGAGTCTCGTAAGGACACAGGGACAGGATACAAACATTTTGCTAGTGGGTTACTAGGGGTATGGTGAGTGGTGCTGCTCTCATTTCCAGCTCTTTGTTCCTGGACCCATAAATCCTGGCTATAGGAGGAATAGTACCATATATTGGATGTTGATTCTGAGCATATACAGCCTCTTGAAGAACCTTGCCCAGCGCCCCAGACCTGCAAGGTTAATGCCTCATAGCTGGCACTGCAGCTGAATCTTCAAAAAAAGGTCATTTCTGAAGCCATTTTATGAAGCCAGCTGCTTGAGAATGGTGAAGAACATAGTAAGACTAGTGGTTTTTGTGTGTATGGGCCAATTGGCACACTTTATTTGCTACGAAGTGAGTTCCTTACTGGAAGCAATGCTGTGTGGGATTCCAAATATGACTGTGGTCTGTAATGGGGTCCTGGAACTTCTGTGCTTTTTAAAAAAATATATCTTCAAAATGGAGGTTAAGAAGTGACTCAATTTCTGATCTGTATTTACCCTCCTCCCTTCCCCAGTGAGGTTTCTCAGCTAATTTTCTGGCAGGAAGTATTGTTTCCCTATGAGACTGTGGGGAGTGATTTCTATCACCTTGTCCTATTTTACAAGTATCCATCTCAGGGTAGATGACAAGCCACAATTACAAGTAACTCACCTCCTTGCAAGCAGACATCTTCCCTGAGGCATTTATGCTCCACTTTGCTCATACATTACAACATCCTCCATACAGATTATCCCAATCACTCTGGACTCAGTGAATTCCGTGTGGACTGGGAAGCCCTCTCTAGAGAGGTTTGTAAAGTCTTAGAATCCAAACTCCACCCTTATAGTACTGGTATACTTCTAACGCCACATTCCTTTTACTGGAGTCTCCAGTGAGACCTGAATTACTTAAAATCATGGAGTAAAGAGAGAGCATATGATCCTTGGGGAGTTCATTTGACTTGATAATAAGTAGTTGAAAACACTATTTTGTAAAGCAAATAGAGATGTTGCGGGAGAAAACAATAGTTTTGCATGCACTTGTTGCTAAAATTAGAGATTTCAAGGACATGTCCTGATTCTTAGCCACTGAGGGATGTGAGGACAGACCTGGAAAGAGATGGGGGATGAAACAATTCAATTTGTTTACTGTTTTCTGAAGTTCATGATATTCCTTTTTTATATTTGTGAAGTGGCACTTAAGAAAAGTCATGAAGAAATGTGGCTTCAATTAGAAGCTCTAAGAAAACATGAATGCTTATGTCACACAAAATTCAAATATCTATATTTCTAAAACGTAAGCTCCATAAGATCAAGTGTTTTGGTTCATGATTAAATCTCAGTGTCTATCACTGTACTATCCAGTGTGGTAGCTACATGTGATTATTGAGGACTTTGGCTAGTCTGAATTGAGATGTTCTGTAAGTGTAAAGTGCACTCCAAATTTTCATGACTTCATATGAAAAAAACTTGTTGAATGCCTCATTAGTAATTTTTATATTGATTACATATGGAATTGACAATATTTTCAATACACTGAGTTAAATAAAATATTTGATTAAAAACAGGCCGGGTGCAGTGGCTTACATGTGTAATCCCAAACTTTGGGAAGCTGAAGCTGGTGGATCACTTGAGGTCAGGAGTTCAAAACCAACCTGGTCAACATGGTGAAACCCCATCTCTACTAAAAATATAAAAATTAGCCAAGCATGGTCGTGGGCGCCTGTAATCCCAGCTCCTCAGGAGGCTGAAGCAGGAGAATCACTTGAGCCTGGGAGGCAGAGTTTGCAGGGCAGAGATCACACAACTGCACTCCAGCCTGGGCAACAGAGCCAGACTCTGTCTAATATAATAATAATAATAATAATAACAATTTCATTGATTTCTGTTTTCTTGTTTGGCTACTAGAAAATTTGAAATTTCACATGTGGTTCACATTACATTTCTACTAGACCGTGCTAGCCTAGTATATAGTTTACACTCAATAAAAATGTGTTGAAGTAATGTTGAATTAATATCTTTATTTTATTTTACTTTTGAGATGGGGGGTCTCACTATGTTGCCTAGGCTAGTGTACAGTAGATAGGCACAGTTATAGTGCACTGCAGCCTCAAACTTCTGGTCTCAAGTGATCCTTCCACCTCGGCCTCCCAAGCAGCTGGGACTACAGACATGCACCACTGTTCCCTGTAAATGTTTTTCTTGTAGATCATTGCTGTACTCTTTCATCTAAAGAAAAGATGATGACAGAAACCAGAACACATTTAAGACAAATTTTCAAAAGTGTGATCAAGTCATGTTCCTTTGTTGTATTTGGAAGGCAGTACTTATGGTTTAACAACCTACCAGTGAGATTAAAGCAACTAGCAACCAACTCATTTCTTAGATAGAAGTATGGTCAGCCCTGCTCCTACTTACAATTCCAGTTATGGGTACTCTCCAACCCTGAGCACGAAAAGCAATCATGCTCAGATTTTTCTTTTTTCGCACTCTTATTTTAACCTACTGTTCAGATGGTAGTTAGCTCTTATGATTAATTAAGCAACACTGCAATCTGAAGAAGAGCAGAACTCGGAACCCCAATACTAATCTCTAGGAAATGACAGTTGCCTTTACAGTAATGAATGATCTGAACCACAGATGCAGTTGTCTTTAGCAAAAACCATATGCTTGAACCTATGATGTATACTCCTGGTGTGAGCAATGACAAAACCTTCTCCCATCGTGTAAAAATATCCCTTAAGCCATCTATTATTTTTGATAGGTCAAATACATTCTACTCGAAGGGGAAAAAAACTATCCTCTAATATTAATAGTACCTCTAAAATCCATAACCCATTTATAATTATGGTGAGCCTGGATTTTTCTAGTCTTAGAACTCTAAAAAATAAATTTGCTAAACTAAGGTTAAAACATTTAAGATGGAGTATAAGGAATAAAAATTCCATGATTTTTCTCTGTATACATTAAAATGTGTGTTACTTTTTTAGGTATTTAATGCGATTATGTTTAATAACAACTATACTTTAAATTTATATAGCACTTTATATTTTTCAAATATATCCTTGTATATGATGCCTCTTTAGATTATATTATATTAATAAATATTCTTAATTAATATTTTCTCTGTTTATATGCAGAATTAATCTGAAGCAGTAAATACCTAGTACTTTTAGCACAAGAAAATATGTTTTATTAAAAAATACATAATAACAGAGAAAATTTAATTACAATTAGAGCTGAGCTTAAACTTAACCAAGGCTCCTGAAGACTAGAGGAATGCTTTTTTCAGTGTAAAAACAATGTATAACTCATTTTTCAAGACATTTTTCAGGTTTTAATTTATGAAGCAATTATGAAAGATTTTCATCAAATAGTCTTTGTATGAAAATATTTAATTTCATTTGTTATTTGTAGAAATATTTACTCTTTTTTACTACTTCTCTGGTGTGGATAATAAAATGTTTACAATGTTAAGGAAAAAAAAGCCTTGAGTATCATCTCCTTTAGCAAGTAATACTCAATACATTTATTTGAGTATTCAGCATAATTTTGAACAATGCAAGGTTGTTCACTACAATACCCTTATGACAAAAGCAAAGCAGAGAGAAATGAAGTTTTAAAGTCGTAATGGAATTAAATGCGTAAAGCAGAAGATACAGAAGAAATAGAAAAAATAGAAATAAATGCTTTTTTTTTTGAGATGGAGTCTCTCTCTGTCGCCAGGCTGGAGTGCAATGGCGCCATCTCGGCTCACTGCAAACTTCACCTCCTGGGTTCAAGAGATTCTCCCACCTCAGCCTCCTGAGTAGCTGGGATTACAGGCATGCACCACCACACCAGGCTAATTTTGTATTTTTAGTAGAGATGAGGTTTCTCCATGTTGGTTAGGCTGGTCTCAAACCTCTGGCCTCAGGTGATCCACCCGCCTCGGCCTCCCAAAGTGCTGGGATTACAGGCTTGAGCCACTGCGCCGGGCCAAATGCATATTCTTAAATTGAGGGAATGCCAAGCAGAATGTTTCAGGCGAAGACAAGTAACAGAAGTATGATCGTGTTTCTGTCTTCAAGATGTTCTTATCTTACAAATATTATCAACGACATTAAACAGATGGAAAACACAGAAATAACACGATTTTTTCATGGTTCCACCAGGTATCAGTAACAACTATATGTAATTCCAATGTTCTGTATGTCAGGCATTTGTTTAGATGAATGAGTCTGATTTCATTTCAATTGCTAAAATAAAGTTAGATGAGATTATGTTGACTTAGAGTGACCACATTAAGACAAACCAACACACCTTGGGTGGTTTTCTTTTCTGAGTAAAAATAAGGCAAATATATATATATACATATATATATATATACACACCTTTATTTATTGACTATATATTATAATATAAATATATTTTTATATATTTATATTTTATATTTATTTTTATATATTAAATATATATGTATTTAAATCAGTCTTCCTCAATCTTATCTCAGAAGAGAAGAAAAAGAATTTGATTTAAATAAAACCTATTCTAAAGATAGGCACTTTGGAAATAAAATTAACTCTTTTAGAATTGTTAATACTGTTTAAATTGACGTATCAGTATTTTTAATGCCCTAGAAAGCAGTGCATTGACTGATGATCTCATGATGAAAGTGGGTTTTTAAAAATTATCCTGCCTTACTAACTTACATTGTAAAGATTACTTAACAACATTTGTTTCATGTATTATTTCTCATAAATTGTGCAAAGATTTGGAATTTGGAATAACTATTTGCAATGATTCCTCTTGTCAGTTAAAAGAAAAGTAATATTACTGGTCTTCTAGATAAAAAGGGACAATATTCCTGTTATGCCTGAGTAGTGGTATTCATGATTACGTAGCACATCTATTTATCAATTATTTACCACCTGGATTCCTTTAGGAAGGAAGGAAAGAAGGGAGGGAGGGAGGGAAGGAGGGAGGAAGGAAGGGAGGGAGGGAGGGAGAGAGGGAGGGAGGGAGGAAGGAAGGAAGGAAGTTAAAAACGAGACTCCTTAGGACGCACTTAGAAAGCTGATATATGCTCACCAGCTGCAGCCTATGTCTCTTAAGAAATGGATGACACTTCACCAAATTTAGATTACCAGCCCGAGCTCTAATTTTCAAAATAAAATACAAACTTTAAGTGATTTCATGTCCACACTTACCAGATTTTGACCCTGGCTTGAAATCACTGCCAAACTGGCTCTGTGACAGCATCAAATTATTATGTTAGATTATGTGGAATTTCCATTTTAAGGGTCAGAACTGTCAAACATCAGCACTTTCATGTAATTCAGTCTACTAAAAGAGTGCTAGTAACTGTGAGGTATATAAAGATTAATAAGATACACGTTTGAAACTAATTACTTTAATTATATAAAGGGGAGAAGATGTGTGAAAATTTATTATTTATATATGATCAGAAAAGTTTCAAGGTGAATTAGTTTGGATACAGAATGGAAGTAGGATGGAGGACATTCTATGAGAAGAGAAAGCACTGACAAATATATGAAGATGGAAAAATGCAGGGTATATTAGCAGGATTATAGGGGAAACATTAACCTGGTATGGATTACTTGTGCAAGAAAACAGAGGCATCAATCAAAAAAGTCAACAGTAGCCTGATGGCAAAGATCCTTAAAATTAAGTGAATACGTTTGAAATCTAGTATACAATAAGAAAACAATAAACATTTTTTAAGTCAGAAAAGTCACATTAAAAAAAAGAATAAGGCAAGGATGCGGATGTTGGAGAAACGGGTGGAAGACACTCAATACTAAGAAATGAAATTGAAGCTACTATAGAGGAATGCAATAAAGGCCAGGATAAAGATGATGGCAAAAGAGTTTCTTTTTTTCAACTTTTATTTTAGATTCAGGAGGTACATATACATGTTTGTTACCTGGAAATATTTTGTGATGCTGAGGTTTAGGGTATGAATAAGCATGTTGCCCAGGTACTGAGCACAGTACTCAACAGTTAGTTTTCCAGTCCTTGTCTCCCTCCATCTCTCCCTTCTCTAGTAGTCCTCAGTGTTTACTGTTGCCATCTTTATTTTTCTGAGTACCCAAGGTTTAGCTCCTAGTTATAAGTAAGAACAAGTGGTTTTTGGTTTAATGTTCCTGCGTTAATTCACTTAAGCTAGTGGCTTCCAGCTGCATCTATGTTGCTGCAAAAGACATTACTTCATGCTTTTTTATGACTGTGTAGTATTCCATGCTGTATAGGTACCACATTGTCTTTATCTAGTCAACCCTTGATGGGCAAGTAGGTTGACTGCATGTCTTTGCTATTGTGAATAGAGCTGCAATAATCATGTAAGTGCATGTGTCTTTTTGGTAGAACAATTTGTTTTCTTTTGGATATATACCCAGCAATGAGATTGCTAAGTCTAATGGTAGCTCTGTTTTAAGTTTTTTGAGAAATCTCCAAATTGCTCTCCACAGTGACTGAACTAATTTACATTCCCACCAACAGTATATAAGCATTCTCTTCTCTCTGTAGCCTCATCAGCCTCTGTTGTCTTTTGAGTTTTTAGTAATAGCCATTGTGACTGGTGTGGGATGGTATCTCACTGTAGTTTCGATTTGTATTTCTCTGATGATTAGTGAATGTGTAATATTTTTTCATGTTTGTTGGCTGCCATTTTGTCATCTTTTGAGAAGTGTCTGTTCATGTATTTTGCCAATGTTTTAATGGAGTTATTTATTGATTTGTTGAAGTTCCTTATAAATTCTGGATATTAGATCTTTGTTGGATGCTTAGTTAGTGAAATTTTTTTTCACATTTTGTAGGTTGACCATTTACTCTGTTGATAGTTTCTTTTGCTGTGCAGAAGCTCTTTAGTTAAGTTAGGTCCCACTTGCCAATTTTTGTTTTTGTAGCAATTGCTTTTGAAGAATTAGTTATAAATTATTTCCAAAGACTGATTTCTAGAATGGTGTTTCCTAGGTAAAAAAGAAGAATTTGAGAAACCATGTGAGAAGTCAATCTATAAGAATTAACACATGAGTTGCTCTCCTGTTATGGACATGTAAGGCGCTAAAAAATATGTATTTGAAAAAGACATAGATTTGGACCCCAGTGATCTTAGAGTGTAGTTAGGAGGATAACAAGTGTACGTCAATGTTTATTATTATTATTAAATTGCCTAGTGCTCCTATGTGCCAGATTCTACTGCAGTTATGCTATATAGAAGGCAGAAAGTAATGTGTTACTTGAAAGAGACAGATGCTGAAGGGGCTTCTCCTGAGGAAGAGACCAGGAAGATTCTGTGAGGAAGGTGAAATTATATTTGGGTCTTCAGATATTTGTAGACCTTGGACATATCAGGACTTGGCAACTGATCAGATAAAAGATAGTTAGCAATTGAAGAACTAAGGTTTCCTCCATGGAGAATGACAGTGCTGTCTATAGATATAAAGCATCTTGGACAGTGACATAGTTCTCAGAATTATGACGATGGGTCAGGCATAGCCATATTGCAGGTGAGAGATACCAGTGCAGATGCGGGGCTCTTAGTATTGAGAGAGCTCAGAGCTAGGCAGAAAACACTTGACACACTAAGATTTTCTCAATCACAGATGCTCAGTGTCACTATAACACATCATTTCATCTCTAAAATGCATTGGAATATAACTTATCCTTAAAGTTTCTAGATATGTTTATAAAGGCATGATTATCAATTTTATTTATCTTCACTTTCTCTTCATTTCCATCAACACCAATAGATGACTTTGTTTTTAAAGAAATGAAATTTTTAATCATGATTCAAGCATGACTTCATATATAGACCTAAGTAGAGAACAAAACACTGTGGCTATATGAAGAAACTAGGTAGTCCTCCTAGGTTTACATCTATCTCAAATATTCTCTCTCTCTGTCTCATATCTATATCTATATCTATATCTATATCTATATCTATATCTATATCTATATCTCTATCTATCTATCTATCTATCTATCTATCTATTTATCTATATGCTAACTGGCACATTTCACAGATCTTCAAAGTCTCTGGAAAAGAAGAATGAGAAAGATAGGTTAAAAATAAAGTGGTGGCTGGGCACGGCGGCTCACACCTGTAATCCCAGCACTTTGGGAGGCCGAGGCGGGTGGATCACGAGGTCAGGACATCGAGACCATCCTGGCTAGCGTGGTGAAACCCCGTCTCTACTAAAAAATACAGCAAAAATTAGCCGGGCGTGGTGGCGTGCGCCTGTAGTCCCAGCTACTGGGGAGGCTGAGGCAGGAGAATGGCGTGAACCTGGGGCACGCGGAGCTTGTAGTGAGCCGAGATCGTGCCACTGCACTCCAGCCTGGGCGACAGAGTGAGACTCCGTCTCAAAAAATAAATAAATAAATAAAAATAAAAAATAAAGTGGTATAGGAAATAAATACATACTTTCAACAATATATATTAAGCTACTAATATGCAACAGAATTGTGTTAAGTGATGCAGACATAAGGGTTAATGAAATAGAGAGGCATAGTTTTCATGGTGCGTACAATTTACCCATCATTCCTTCAACATAGCTGTCTTACACCCACCTGCTATGGTAAAGAGATTCTGTTAGCAGAGTGGTTGTTGGTAACGCCATAATATACAGATAATACGTCATTAGGTAGATGGTGGTGCTAGGAAAAAAAGTCTTACCGCTGTTTATATTGGAAGATCTGATCTAGTTTAGGTGATCAAGGAAGGCATTTCTGATGAGACATATAAGTTGACACCTAAAAAAAAATGGCTTATAGTTGATGAACTGGGGGAAAATACTCTGGCAGATGAAAAGCAAGGGCCAAAGAGAGAGAGTGGGGTAGGTAACAAAAATAGAAGATGAATGTTTACATTTAGTCCTAAAAATGGCATTAAACACAATATGATTATATGATATTAAGCCAATAAATATATTTTATGAGGAAAATGTTAAGTAGTTTAGCAATTATTCATGACCCTGGTTATTTGAAGGCATCACCAAGAAGAGATGGAATTTGGTGAAATTGGAGAAAGTGTAATTTGGCAAAAGGGAAAGTGTATTAGAGCAGGGGACAGCACTTCTGCTGTCACTTAAGAGATAATGAAAATGCTCAAATAGCCTTTGTCCAAACCCTCCTTTGCCTGTTCTCCGATGACAAAATTTAAGGCTTTGTGCCTTAGTGAAATGCAAATATCCTAGAAAAGCATGATGAGTTGTGTACGTTTTTTCTGACCCTTTTAATGACCTAGAACTTGGAGTCTCAGTTCTATTGTAAAACCACATGATAGGAAATTGAACTGAATTATGGATAAATTAAAGCCAGCAATGTACTTCTCTATAAACAGGCCCCTAAAATTCTCAGTGTCATAATTATTTTCTTGAGAACATTACACATTTTATTGGCCAGATATTACTATTATTTAGAGAATTAAATGATGATAGATACCAAAAAAGGACCACAATTAGGAACAAGGATTTCAAAAACACTGAACAGGACATTTAGCTTTCTGATTAAAACTCCTGGTGTAGTTATAGCTTTAATTTGATTTTATTCTCTCTCCTTTTCCTTAGTATCCGCAAGGCATGTAATACAATGCCTCTGGTGCAGTCAACCCAGAACTTTGTGGTTCAGAGTCCAGCCTCTCTAGCAAATGGCTTTTGCAGTGCAGAGCTTTGTGAGGTTGTAACTAGCAGATACTGGGAAGCACGATTATTTCTTACTTTGAAGCTTAGTCCATCTCCATTGAAAAACCATCAAGTTCCTGCTGGCAGCTTCTGGGCCACAAGTTTTTAATTAGTGCTTATCCTTATACCTTAGCTAACTCCCTTATCTAGGACCACCTTCTGCTGGTCCTGGCAGGATCCAAGAATCATTTGATTTCATTTTCCCTTAGTGTCTATACTTACATCTTTTTTTTCTTCAACGTCATAGACAGAAAGATTGAGAGAGTGAGAAGAAATGCAATGCCTTCCCCCTTCTTGATGCTGTAACTTTTCTGCCTTATTGGAAAGGGAGAATTCCTTGATTTCCATGGCAACTCTCACTGCTTCTGCCTTTAGCAAGTTTACTCTTACCTTTCCCTTATGTTTAATAATTTCCATTATTTCCTTAACCCGGCTCAAATTCACTTGCTCACACAAGCTACTCATTTTTGTTTTCTTTAAGGAATTGATAGTGTTTGGACAAACTTAATATTTGAACAGTCTTCAAGGTGTATGTGTTTAAATTTGCTGTGTATGGCTTAACATTTTAATTAGTAATCAGTCACTTATATCCTAGTAGAAATTAGCCAACTCTGATAGGGGTGCAGTACTCTTAAAAAGAGGGGGAGAGAGGGTCTGAATGGGGCTGTTGACATAGAAAAGATATTCCTGAAGCAAACATTCCAAATGAAGAATTAGGAATGTGCATAAAGCTTTCTTAACAATATGCTTACATCCGTGATGAAGATGTTCAAATAACAGAAATATGTAAATATCTGAAATAAAAAGATATGTGCATGCTCTCAGAACTTTTTAAGAGAACATTCACCCACCCATGCTGGGTAGTCATTTTCCTGCCAAGGATGGAGAATGATCTATGTGACCTTTTCCAGAGATTTTTTTTTTAAATTCACATTTCAGATTCTGCTCACTTTTAATAAAGGCAAAGTTATTAAGGAATCATAATCAACTTCAAGAATAAATATTTAAACTCCATGAGTTAATTGGCCAATCTTTTTCTTCTTCCTCTGAATGAATATGTGTCTTTTAAACTCAGTTTTCATTTCCTCATCTTTAAAATAGGAAGGGCCAGTTTTTCTTTGGATCCTGAGGTCTGGCCATTCTCTTATATGGAGATTAGTTAGAACTGGCCTTTTGAGACAGGGGGTGTGTGTGTGGGCTTGTGTGCGTGCAAACATGTGTGGAGAAGGAAGCATTGTTACGATTCCCTAATATAAAAATAGCTGATGATATCAATTTTCTTTAATATAAATAACTTTTCCTGAGTGAAGCAAGTGCAGAAAGCCAGGATCCTGTGGCATATACTTCCATAGGTAACAACAACCCAGTTAGATAGATTGATATATGCTTGATCAGAGTGACAAGACTGAACAACAACAAAAAAAATTGTTTCCAGAAAGTGGTTTTTAAATATAGGAAACAAAAATGAAGAAATAAAATAACACAGAAAAAAAGTTTCTTAGAAGACAATGTAGTCTGTTTACTTTGTACACTTTAGCCATAAGCAGCAATTTTCTCATGAAAATCTAATTTGAATTTTATAAAGGTATCTGGATAATAAGTAGTTTGCTTGGCTTAATTAAAAATTAGCTCTAAACAACTATGCCTCAGTTTCCCCATCTGTAAAATAAGATAACAATAGTACTTACCTCATAAGATTATTTTGATGAGTAAATAAGTTATTTTTTAATTAAAGTGTATTTTAAATGCCAACACATGTTAAAAAGTAAAAATGTGGCCAGGCGCAGTGGTTCACGCCTGTAATCCCAGCACTTTGAGAGGCCGAGGTGGGCGAATCAGGGGGTCAAAAAATCGAGATCATCCTGGCCAACATGGTGACACCCTGTCTCTACTAAAAATACAAAAATTAGCCGGGCATGGTGGCAGGCGCCTGTAATTCCAGCTACTTGGGAGGCTGAGGCAGGAGAGTTTCTTGAACCAGGGAGGCGGAGGTTGCAGTGAGCCGAGATGGTGCCATCGCACTGTAGCGTGGGCTACAAGAGCAAAACTCCGTCTCAAAAAAAAAAAAAAAAAAAAGTAAAAATGTAAATATATATCTCTATATTGTAAAACTATGCATTAAAGAGAACATGTAAAATCAACACAAATTAAGTAATAAGTGAACCCCATAGTGGTGACCTATTTGAAAGATGCAGTTCCAGGATGTAACAGAATTTAGGAGATATAAAAATTTGATTGGATTGATGATAATGATGATGATGACAGTGACGACAACAATGATGATAGATAGAATAATAGTTCCCATTTATTAAGAACCCCCCATGGGTCAGATCTGCATTAGGCACATTACATATATAATCATTTCCTCTTTTTTTTAAAAAAAAAAAGAAAGTTGCCATTAAACGAGTGATTTCTGGGTCTAAGACACCATAGCAAACATTATTATTTAGCGTGCTTACATTCCAGTGGGGCCTCTACTCTCAAGAAAACCAGTGCTATTGGAGATATGTTATATGAACTGGGACATGTTAAATATCACTGGAACATATGCTATTGCTTTACACTTCCATAGCTTCATTCCTGTTACTGGAGAGTAGCACCATTTTCAAAAGTGAGTAAGTCATAAGATCAACCTGGAAAAATCCATCTTAAGATGTTCCCCTTGACAAATCGAAAGGATAGCTCACCATACTTATTTAACTGCTAAGTTGAAAATAGCCATTTGTCTAATTATGCTTTTATATAACTTTTTGGTAACTCATTATTTCAACTTTAAAAGTCAAATTCTAGGGATATGGAATTGTGAAAGAAAAGACTTTGCATTCACAAGTCAGTGCGTGAATCGCAATCAGGCAAAAATACAGTGATCTCATCTGTAACACATAAACTGGGTAATTTTTTATTTATGAAGTAATGCAAATAACTTAATATAGATTACTACACTAACTCATAGTATACTTTACTTCAGTTAAATAACACCATTTTGGGCATTACTGAAATATAAATGGACGTGAAGCATGCAAAATAAAATTATGACATTTTGGCATACATTGTGCTTCTCAAAAAGAAAAAAACACACACGCTAGACTCTGAAGTCATCATATTCTGCTATTAAAGAGCTTGATCATATCTGCCTCAGATTTTACTGAGGGCATTGAAAGCTTCAGTTATCTTTGCACCGCTTTATGTTATTAATAGGTTGTTATTCTTTATATTTTAAGCAGCCAGTGATTAAACATCATAAACAAATAAAACAAAGGGGAAGGGTCAAATCAAGCCATCATTAATAAAAAAGAAATTAGACCAAAAACATGACTAATAAAGTTTGCTATTTACTCTCTTGCAAACTCAACTAATTGTGCATGTTATGAAATAGTTCTTATCTAGCACTCCACTCTTGCATCTGTTCAATATGCAGTTTTATCAGCAAACTGGCAGAAGACATCTGGCCAAGAGGAAAGAAAAACTTGTATGAGATTATGGATTTCTGAAAATGACTAATTTTTTAAAAATCTCTAGCAGTGGTTTCGATTGTGAAAATACAGTAAACCTTCCCAATGATTGATGCAGAGCAATCTATTTTTTTTTAAACTCAAGACTTTAAAAAAGGGAATGTAAATATTCTAGAGAGATGCAGGATCTTACTGATGGCCAGAGTAAGAATCTGGCATTTTTTTCCTGCATATTTACACAGGGCAGTTCTTTTTAGCATGTTATTACCCTCTTGCTTTGTAAATGCTGGTTTACATTTTTGATCATTGTAAACGCTAACAGAGCACAAGTATTCATATTTCTTTCTTTCCTTCCTAAATATGGATAATAGGCTCTATTTGACAGCACAGTTGGGATTAGAAATACTGTATGAAATATGTCTTGAGAAATATCTACAGCACAGAGATCAGAAAATTACAACCCATGAACCAAATCCAGCCTTTCATCTGTTTTTCTAGTTTTATTGGAACATAGCCAGGCTCATTCTATGGCTACTCTTAATTACAAAGACAGTTGAGTAGTTATGATTGTATGACTCAAAAAGCCTAAAATGTTTGCTATCTGGTCTTTAAAGAATTTTGCAAATTCATGATCTACAGCACCGTAGGGACTTAATAAATGGTAATTATTTTTAATTCTGCAACATTGGGGAATTACTTATTTTGCACGAACCACCAGTAACTTCCAATAAAGATACTTATTTTGAATAGGTAAACTAGCCCTGTCCAATAGAATGACCGTTATATTTTCTAGTAATGCATTTTTAAGAAGAAACAAGCTAATTTTTTTTTTTTTTTAGATGGAGTCTCACTCTGTCATTCAGGCTGGAGTGCAGTGGTGCATTCTCGGCTCACTGCAACCTCTGCCTCCAGGGTTCAAGCGATTCTCCTGCCTCAGCCTCCTGAGTAGCTTGGACAACAGGAGCATGCCACTATGCCCAGCTAATTTTTGTATTTTTAGTAGAGAGGGATTTCACCATGTTGGCCAGGATGGTCTTGATCTCTTGACCTCGTGATCCACCCACCTCGGCCTCCCAAAGTGCTGGGATTATAGGCGTAAGTCAATGCTCCCGGCCACAAGTTAAATTATCTTAACAATGTTTTATTTAAACCAATATTATTATTTCAACCTACGATATTATCATTTTAACATATAATCAACATAAATATTATTAATTATTTTATTAATACATTCTTTAAAATCTTCAAAATCTGATGTTTATTTTACACTTACTGCACATCTTAATTCAGATGTCAATTTTACAGTGGAAATATTTCATCTATATTTAAAGTTCCTAAAGTTTACTCTTGAAAAATTTGATTCATATATTTACGTGGTTCCAAACATAAATGTTTTTTAGAATGTTTTGTCATATGTTTTCATAAAGCTTTCTAATAACTAAATATCAAGGATTTTAAATTTAACTAAAGTTAAATAAAATTTAAAATTCAGTTCTTTAATTACACTAGCCACATTTCAAGTGGCTGCCATATTAGAGGCATTTTAGGCAATATAGGATTTTACTTATTTTTATTAATAGCAATAGTCATAACAGCTACCATTGACTGAGCACTTAATTGGTCACAAAAAATCTAAACAGATATGGAATCTGGGGACTCAAGTTAGCAAAGTAACATGTGCAAGGGTACATAGCTAGTTCAGTAGGAAGTCTGAACCCAAGATCTTATTTTAATTCACACTTTTTCTCCTATTCTGCTATGCAGACCCCAATGCATCTTTTACATGCCAAACCACTGTCTCTTTGCTTAATTTGAACTTAAAATCTTTGGGAAAAAAATTAAATATGTATTCTCAACTTGTGTTTTAGCCCTGCAGAACACTATACTTGGCCTCTCAGGTTTGTTGGTTTTGATCTATTTTGGTTTGTGTTTGAGAGGTCCTATTACAGAGCTTTTATATCTTCCATCTCTTCCCAGCTGATTCTCTTCCCTGTGGTGCTGGTGTCAGCCAGGCACACTACCCCATGGCCAGGCCCATGGCCTGGGCCTTCTGTCCTTGTCTTGTTGAGCTACTTATGCTTTTCATCCTGGAGAGAGAGAGAGTGTATGCGTGCGTGTGTGTGTGTGTCTGTGTGTGTGTGTGTGTCTGTGTGTGTGTGTGTGTGTGTGTCTGTGTGTGTGTGCGTGCGCGTTTGGTAGGGGGGTGGTTGTCTTGCTTTTCCAATTAGTCTTACTGTGATTCGAAAAGGGTAGCCTTTCCTAAACAATTCCAGTCAATCAACATTTCTTTCTTAACCTGCAAGGCACCAACCTCTGACTGCATTTGGAGCATAGCCTTGAAGTCCTTTTTTCTTTATATAGTTATATTTATTTTTGTTTGCTAAATGCCTGCTTCTTTGATAGGAGATGAGAATTTAGTTGCTATTTTTTTAAGGTTACTTCTTGGCTAGGAGCCATTACTTAAACCTGAAGATTATGGAAGCCAAACTCTAGAGGCTTGAGTATTCAAACTAATTTCTCTCAGCTATTGACATCTAAACACATAAAATATTGTATACCATTGTATTCTAGTCTCTCTTGGATCCAATTTGTATCCCCTTGTTAAAAAGTCTGTAAAAGGTCCTCATCCTCTCTGAAAAGAAGGCAAACAAGCACTTCAATGACATAAAAGACTCAATTCTTTGGCATTTCAGTTCTTCTGAAGAAATCTTCAATTTCCTGAAGGCATCAACCTCTCTTTTATGTTGGGACTTTTATGTTGGCTGCCCTCACTACCTGGTTCATTGATCACCCACCATATCTGCCCACCTCATCTTCCTTGGGTTCAGTACACTCAAACTGGTAAACTTAGAAGTTACTTCCTCTTTCAAGCTTCCCCTGAGCCCAAAAAGCATGTTACGTACTTGACCTTGGCTCACACAGTGGCCCAGGTGTGCCCTTAAAGTAGGACTTCTCAGTCTGTGTCATCATTGCCCATCTCTACTACTGGGTTTTGAGGACAAGGGCGATGTCTTATTCTCATTATCTCTATTCTAATGTATATCACAGAGGCTAACAACAAAATAAAACCTTAATAAATATTTACTGATTTAGTGAAACCATTTATTTTAAGTGTGTAAAATAAAATTAAGTTGTTATATATAGTCATTAAATCATATTTGGGGGCTTCCTAAGTGCATTCAGTATGTATCAAAGTGAATGTTGTCTATTAAACGTTTTTAAAATTTAATAATAATAAGCATTCTATTAAATACAATAGGCACACTATAAATAGCACTCCATCATTTGCTAGATACCATTTCTCATCTCTTACTGAAATTTAATTAATTGAAATGTTTGCACCTGAAAAGGATTTTTAAGGTTTATTTTATTCTGCACAAGATACACTATCAAAGAGATGTAAGAATAGACTTTTCCTGACATATTTCTTTCTGATTTTTTTTTTTTATTGAAACAGAGTTTTGCTCTAATCGTCCAGGCTGGAGTGCAGTGGTGTGATCTCTACTCACTGCAACCTCTGCCTCCTGGGTTCAAGCAATTCTTCTGCCTCAGCCCCCCAAATAGCTGGGATTATAGGCACGTGCCACCACCCCAGCTAATTTTTGTATTTTTAGTAGAGATGGGGTTTCACCGTGTTGGCCAGGCTGATCTTGAACTCCTGACCTCAGGTTATCTGTCTGCTTTGGCCTCCCAAAGTGCTGGAATTATAGATGGAACCCACCGCACCCAGCCAACTTTTCCTGATATATTTTATATTCTGAAATAGCTATTGTTTGTATTCTCTAGCATACTTGTTACTTTATTATTTTCTATTATAGAACAAAAGGAAAACAAGCACTTAAATGGAACACAGAGTGTGACTGTTTTGGTGGTATGAGAAAAGGCACTTAATGGTAGTTCTTCACCTGTATTGGAAAACAGCATGCCTTTGAAGAGCTGATGAAAGCTAGAGTCTCTCTCTCTCTTTCTCTCCAGAAAAAAAGCCTAAATGCATGTACAAGTGTATATGCCAAATTTGCCTACAACTTTAGGACTCTCAGGATTCATTCAATAAAAAGAGGTTAAAAACCCCTAAGCTAAAATAGGCCTGAAAAGAGCCTGACTCTGCTAAAAGGTGGGGCAAAGGTGGAAGGACATGACTGTGAAAGATGGGGAGGAAGCATGTGCTTTAGAAGAGAAGAACATGCAAATTTGCTTTTCAAAGAAGGCACAGGTGTGCTTTGCAAACCTTTGCAGAATGCTGTCTACCTTAGATGCTCCCTAACAAGAAGACCTGAATTGTTTGGAAGCCAAGCCCCTGTGCTCCTTCATACATCCACTCATTCACCCATTTAATTAAGATAGATTTATTTCGTTCCACTGTGTGCCAAGAACTGTGTTTAAGAGTGGGGGGAGGGGTGGTGCAATTGTGAAATGAGTGCAAATTGTGAATTGAGTCTTTTATGCCAACATGTCGTTTTCTTAGATGAGTCATGAGAGTCCTAAAATTGTAGGCAAAATGGGTACATATACTCATATGTGCATTTGGGCCTTTCTCTGGAGTGAAAGAGAGAGAGCCTATAGCTTTCATCAGCTTTTCAAAGGCATGCTTTTTTCCAACACAGGTTAAGAACCACCTTTAAGTGCCTTTTCTTATTTTCTTTTTCCTCAAAGTTAAAGCCCAGCAGTGGAGATGGCAATGATTTGAAACATGGCCCTTCCTCTCTATTTCTCACATATGCTACTATGTCATGCTAGAAATAAGGAAAAAGAGTCCATTCATTTAGAAGTTTCTACTTACCATGTCACTGATTTTGTACTCACTAGCTATTTTCACTTATTGTTATTGATACTACGTGCAAACAAATGAGGTTTTTAGTGACTTCTAGAACCATAACATATATATTAATTATGTTAATATTAAATGTCTATAACGGAAAAGTGTTAATGTGACATATAATTAATGTAATTATAGTGCAAGATTATTGTTTTAGGCATCATAATACTGCCTAAAGTAGGACTTATGTTTTTGTATAAACCTCATGAAAAACATGGCATCTTTTGGTTGCCCTGAAATTATTTATGCACATAGGAAAGTATCAAATTAAGATAGTAGTCATATGGCTTCAGTGGCACTCAGCTGGGGTCAGAGGCCATTTTATTAAAATTCTCTGGGCTATTCATTGGCACTCGGAGTTGAATCTGTTTCCCTGGTAACAATGAACTGCTTTGCAATGAGACACGAAAGGAATCAAATCAACGTAGAAGTAATTCTGGCCTCAAGTAAATTCCAGTGGAACCAAGGAAAACTTCTTGTATATAATCCATCAGAACACCAGAGAGAATGTGCATAAAAAATCACCTTGGAAAAGAGGACATAGCACTTTGTCTTCCACTCTCCTATTCATAGCATATAGCACATCATATTGTTATCTGTCATATTTGTTGATGACACTAGACACTAATTATGATCCACACGCAGGTGTGGCTGAAAGACCTATTTAGGAATGACAGGACTTTTCACTCTGCACATGTCATGATGATTCCTTAGTTTTGCAGCTGCAACTGCTAGTCGCAGAACATGCTGCTATTTAAGGGGCAGCCACTTAAGATAGGAAGTCAGCCCCAAGTCTTTGCACAAAAGAGCTACCCAATTGCTGAATATGCCATGTCAGTCTGGTCTGTGCTGCTGAGTTATCCTAACTTCCTACAACTATTTCCTGTTTAAGAGTTTATAGACTTTTCGTCAAGTGCTCATGTCTTCCTTTGTACTCTTTACTAATGCCGAAACTGACAAGCTATGTCTTCATGAATATCATGTAAATGCTGGGCATTTATTTTCTCTTTCAGTTATCTATTCATTCAGAAAATATTTATTGAGGATCAACCATGTCCCTGTTCCCTCCTCTGTGCTATGTGCTGCAAATAGAGCAGGAAGAGGACAAACCCCTTCCTAGAAATCTTTTGTAGGATGTCCCCAACTTGTTATTTGATTTCAAATATAACCTGTGAGTGGGACTGATAGAATTATTCAGGACACTAGCTGCACTCTCTATACAAGATCACATCACATGACCACATTGAAACTGGAACAAGATCATAGTTTCAGGCATTGTCAATCTTCTGTCATCTGGAGACGGCTGCAACATTGATGTCATTTGTTGTTCCAGTTCTTAATTAGTATTTTCTTTCAGTCCGTTCTGCCAGAAGAAATGTCATAACTTTTATCTTCATCTTGACACATTCTACTTTCTATTTTTTTTATTTCCTGTATTACGATGTAAGTTCCTTGAGGTCAAGGGCTATGGTTTTATTTATCTTTGTTTCTATTGCTACACCTTGCACAGAAATTGAAAGGTTCTACACTTATTTCCTCTGCTTGGAACACTTATCCCATGGACACGCACGGGGCTCTGTCCCTCAGCCCTTCACTCAGTTTAAACATCACCTTATCAAAGAGTCTTCCTAAACTACCCTACTTAAAGTAGTAACTACACAACTCTTTTATCCAACCACTACCCACACATCCCTTTCCCCTTACCCGGCTTTATTACTCTTCATAACATTTATCACCATCTGGCATACTTACTTGTTTATCACCTGTCTTCAACTACTAAAAGCCCCATGAAAATAGGAACACTGTCTGTTTTATTCACTGTTGTATTCTCAGCACCTGGAACAGTGCCTAGATCCTAGTGGGGCACTCAATAAATATTTGTCAATTGAATAAATATCTATGGTAAATCCACACATATTTATACTGCCCAATAAAGCATAGAGATGTGATATTTTATTATATGACACTGGTAATACACGAAGAGTGCACATAGGTGCCACCTTAAGCATCCCTCTGGGACGGTGACAAAACTCACATTGCAGAAACATTTTTGATAACCATTGACTTGATGTGATGCATTAATTATGTAGCTGCAGAAAGAGGGGAATGAGTCAGCTCATTTATGTGTAACACTTGAACCTCAGATAGGTGAACATATTTCCAGAATCCTACCATATCATTCTCCTCTTCTTTAATTAGTGAAACAATTGTGTTGGCAATTGCAAGCTGATGCCAGACACATATTGCTAAACCAGAGTAGATCATCCCTATTAGTAGTTCCAATCCCATGTGGCCCAATTATTTTCCTCCATATTTAAGCCTCACTGACAACAAAAGTGCTCAAATCCCATGTGACAACTAGGCAGAGGCTGGCAAACTTTCAATGAATCTATCTAATCCTGCATTGCATCTTTTTTCTTTTCCCTTATTTGTCAGCAGATGTCTATATACTGATGATAGCTTCCATTTACCCAGATGCTCAGGCCAGAAATTGGGATATTATCTTTAACTCCTCTCTTTTTCAGCCTTCAAATCCATGCATTCGAAATGCCAAGTCAGGTCTACTTTGAAACTCCTCTTCTTTTAATTCCCACCGACATTAAATGAGTTCAAGCCACCGTCAACTCTTATGTGGATGAATGCATTCCCTTTTCACTGCTTTTCCTGCCTCTGGCTTTGTTCCTCTCCAGTGTATTCACCTCACAGTAAACAAGATTGCCTTCAAAACTCCAAATCTATATTGACTTTTCTTTCTCATTGATATAAAGTCAAATTCTTCAGGTGTCATGAAAGGCTATCCATGAACATTTATGCCTCACTCACCAGCTTCTCAACCATCCCTATTCCTTTGAATGTCAATCATTCTGAGTTACCTGGTAACTTATGCTTGTTCTTGCCTCTATACTTGGTGAAACCTCTCTCCAATTTTGATGAGGCTTATTCCCCATTCTGGTTTAGTTTGAAAGTTTTTCTTGGTCTCCTGAGACCGACTGAGGCACTTTTCGTCTGTGCCCATTTATTGTGCTGTTGTCATTCCTTTCATAGGATTTGCCACACAGTGATGAAATTGCTTGCTTACTTTGCTTTTTTAACCGCTAGCTTACAAATATATCTTCTGTGCTTAACACAGTGCTTGGCATGTAGTCAATGTTCAGCATTATTTGTTGAATGAGTAAGTTCTTGACTGCAATGAAAGTGTATTTACACAGATTAAGATGATATGGGATAGGATATGTCTTCATATTACATCTACTTGGAAGTTACTTTTGGAAGTCCACAGATCTCTCAAGACAATCAAGGAGCTTTAGAATATGTAACTGCATGATTTTAAGTAAAGCATTTCCTTATTTTGAAGCACAACACATCTACTACGTATTGATCAAGAATGCAATTCCATTATAGGAGAGAGTGCATGTGTTCATATGAATAGGAAACAAGGTTTATTTAAAGTATTGGCTGTTACTTTCAGGAGGTGTAAGGCAAACACAATTCTAACCTCCTTAAATGCAATTAAATAGTGAGGGGAAATCATTGATTAAGATTGCACTTCCACTTGGCCTCTTCCACCTGAAAAGTGCTACTTGTTGGATGTGTGACAGCACCAGAAAATGCAGAAGAACAAATGAATAAGCATAATACACATTTAGACCTAATACTATGAAATTTTAAACTGACTTCATTTAAAGTTAGGTGTGTAACTTTAAAAGTAAACGTTTTAATTTATATATTTTACTGAATAGTAGATATTTGATCATAGTAATATACCAATATTTTTCTCTAGCCACTTGCATTTTTTTAAAAAACAGAGGCAGGATCTCACTCTATCTCCCAGACTGGAGTGCAGCGTTGCAATCATAGCTCACTGCAGCTTTGAACTCCTAGGCTCAAGTGATCCTCCTGCCGCAGCCTCCCAAGTAGCTGTGAATACAGGTGCTGCAACTACATCTGGCTAATTTTAAAAATGTGTTTAGAGAAAGGATCTCACTATGTTACCCAGGCTGGTATCAAACTCCTGGCCTCAAGAGGTCCTCCCACTTCAGCCTGGGATTACATTGCATTTGTGTATTAATATTTTTCCTAGTTGTTGAAGAGAAGCTATCTCTATCTACACTTTCAATGATAAACCATAATGTTTTATTAATTAAATATAAAATAAAGCAGCTGAAAACAGAAATAAATTCCCAAGTCATTGTGATGATTCTGGACCAATAATACTAGAAAACACAATGGTAAATATAAGTGTATGAAATTTTAAACACACACATATACATATCTATATAATTAGAAAACCAAATAAAATAAAATAATAATAATAGGCATAATGAAAAACCAAAGAATAGGAAATATCTACAACCAATGGTACCTAGATGGGAAAGGGCATGAAAAGACATTTATATAATAAAAAGATAAAAAATAAATATTAACAAATCAAAGTAATAACAACAAACAAGACAGATGGCATTTGATGTGTGCCAGACACTCTTTTAAGCACTTTTCACATATTAACACATGCAATCTTATAAGATATGCAAAATTATTTTCCTTTCTTTTTTTTTTTTTTTTTTTTGAGACAGAATCACTCTGTTACCCAGGCTGGAGTACAGAGGCATGATCTCTGCTCACTGCAACCTCCACCTCCTGAGTTCAAGCAATTTTCGTACCTCAGCCTCCCATGTAGCTGGGATTACAGGCATGTACTATGACACCCGGCTAATTTTTGTATTTTTAGCAGAGATGCGGTTTCACCATGTTGGCCAGACTGGGCTGGAACTCCTGACCACAAGTGATCTGCCCATCTCAGCCTCCCAATGTGCTGGGATTAAAGGCATAAGACACAGAAGATAAATTACTTGTCCAGTGTCAACTTGCTAGAAAAGTGATGAAATCTAGATTGAACTTAGGCATGGATTCTTTTTCACATATAATTATGTATTTAAAGTAAGAAAAATCAACCTATACTAATGTCAAGATGCAATAAGCACAAAACTTATGAGCAACCAGTTAAATAGTGACTTGTTATTGTTGCTTTAGAGTACAGTTAGATAATAAAACAAAAACGAGTTCATTCTATCTTCTGATTCATATGGTCATTCCTTATCATTTTATTCCAAATAAATAATTCAAAAACTTAAAAGATTTGTGTGAAGACATTATAACATATGTGAAAAGCAGAACTGAGTACAGCAGGGGTGGGTACTTGCAGTAAACTCTGAAAAATAATGTAGCCTTACCAATTGTAGTCCAGGGGAAATGTTAAATAGGTTGGAGACATCAATGTAAGGAAATTTATGTAGCCATAAAAACGATAGAATTCAAAACTAAAAACCAATAAAGAAAAGTGTTCATGAAATCACATTAGGTGAAGTACAAAATACAATTTTTTAAATACACTCTTATTACAACTATGTTAAAGCTATATAAGCCAACAAATAAATATTGGAAGTAAACAGGAAGACAGTAGTTATTCCACAATGGAGGTAAAATTATGGATTTTTTTAAATTCACTTTTTAATGTTTTAAGTTTTGTTAAAAATGACTTTTTGATACACTTTTACATAGAAAAGAGTTAAGACTATGATTTTATTTTTAATTTGCTAAACTGTCAAACCTATGACCTTGTACCCTTTCTGCATTAGACACCAAAGCCTAATGGGATAAATAATTAATAGGCAGGTTCTTATAAATTTTTATAGACTTAACCTATGTCATCTAACCTTTTAGCCACAGTACATTCAAGTGCTGGAAATGAGTTTCTTTGTTGAAAAGAAATACTAGTTTTTAACTGCTTTTGCAAAAATGTACATACAAGCAAATAGGAGGACTTAAAAATCTATTGATATTCTAGCATTATACAAATATCTTATATCTATAATTCATTATTCCTCTATGTCTATAAATATACTGAATGCTTATTCAATACAAATTAACATGTATAGGCTTTCTTTCTTCATTCAATGAGGGCCTACAAGGTACAAAGTTCTGTAGCAGCCACTAAAGAAATGGCCCATTCTCCCATGCTGCTTGTATTAGTCAACTTAAAACATCATTATTACTTAATTTCAGTTGTGGGAAGTGCTAAGAAGAAGTATAGGTTTTATGAGTACTTTTTAAAAGGGTGTCCAATTTAGAAATCAGGAAAGGCATTCTAGAGATAGTGACTTTGATGTGAGTTCTGAAAGATGGCTAAGAATTGACTAGATAAGGAGGTAGTGGTTAAGTACATGAGAGCATTACAAACTGAGGGAGTTAGATATGCAAAGGCCCTATAGAAAGAAAACTGGCCAGTGTGGTTATAGTCCACAGAGAAAAGAGAATGGTCAGAGAAATAGACATCTGGACCAGAAGACTAAGCTCTTGGTGGACCTAGCCAAGGAGCTCATTCTTCATCTTAATAAAAATAGAGGCTTTTGAAAGGTTGCAAAAAATGGACAAATTTGCATTTTTAAAAGAAAGACATGAGTGGGTGTCAGGAATTTCTTAAGTAGAACTCCTAAGAAAGATGTGAAAATACCTTTTACAATTAAAACACAAAAATTAAACATTCTAGAATAAACTTAAAAAGAAATGTGTAAGATTTCTATAAGAAAAATTTTAAAACATCCCCAAAAGATGCAAAAGTAGACTCGAATAAGTGAGAAGACATCCCCTTTCTTGTATTACATTATTCAACATTATAGCAATGTTTCTCCCATGTTAGTTTATGAATTTAACTCACTCCTTATAAAAACATCATCAGACTTTTTATGTAGTAAGACAAGTTGATAATAAAAGTTCATATGGAAAAACAAACATGCAAGAAGAGGTAGTAAAACACTGGAGAAGAAAACCCATAAGAGAACACTGCTTCTACCAGATATAAAAGTGCACTTCAAAGTTTCTATAATTAAAATAATGTGGTAACGGCACAATAATAGACAACAAAGTCAGTGGAATAGAACAGAAAGCTCAGATATAGATTCAAATACACATATAAATTTATTATATGATACAGGTAACACATTTGGGGCATCACTGGGCAAAGAGAGACTTTTTAATTAATGTTTGTGGGACAACTGGTTTACCATTTGGAAAAAAAATAAAATCAGTTGCATACCTCATACTATACACCAGAATAAATTCTAAATAGACCAGGAATCTAAATGTAAAAAAGAAAATTCAAACAAACAAGAAACTGAAGAAAGCAGAGGTGAATTCCTCTTTAATTTCATTATACAGTAGTGAAATATTTTGTACTTCTCAAAATCCAGAGGAGATAAAACAAGAATAAACCAACTACAAATTTAAAAACAAAAAACTAAAACAACACCATAAATAAAATCGCAGACAATTGATAAACTGGGAGAAAATGTTTGCAATGTGTAACACAAAGGAGTAATCTCCCCAGTACATAAAGAACACATAAAATTGAAGGAAAAAGGATCAATACCCCAATGGAAAAACAAGAGAAAGACCTGAACTGACGAGAGAGAGAGAGAGAGAGCTTACTCGAGTACATCCGGTCCCCCAAAAAGTTCAAATACAAACACAATTAGAGAAATAGTACAAATTAAAACAAGGGCAGTTCCCACCTATTACATGGGTAAACATTAAAAAGTATGACAACACACCCTCTTGGTGGGACTACGGGGAAACAGGGACTGTCACACATTGTTAGAGGCAATGCCAACTTGCACACCTTTTTGGAGAGGAATTTAACAATGTTTAATAAAACTGCATGTACATTTACCTTTCTATCTAGCAATGACACTTTTAGGAATTTACCCTGAATATACATTGCTAATACACATGCATGAGGTTATTCATTGCAGCACTGTTTGTAATTGCAAAATATTGGAAATGAAGTAAATGCTCATACATAGGAGAGTGATTGAACAGAATTTCGTACATCCACACAGTGCAGTACTAAGAAACTAGAACAGAATGAGGAAAACCTCTATAAACTAATACAGAGTAATATCCAAGATATTTAACTTAAGGAAAAAAAGCCAAGTGTAATGCATGTCAATTGTGGGGCCTTGCCAACATGAAGGGGATGGAAACTGCCCTCAAGGCAATGCTGTGCTGAGGGGCTGGAGGAGTGGCGAAGGGGGATGGGATGTGAGGCTTCTTTCTGTGTGCAGCCTGTGCATGTCTTGCTGCTGCTTTGCAGAAATGCTTCAATTACTTGCAGTCCTTTGCCAGATAAGGCAGGTGTCCAGTGCCCTGGTTCCTCATCTCAACTGGGCTTATGCCAATGATATAAAATTTGGTGCAGTTCCCTGAGCCTTAATGCTTCAAGTGTAGATTTTGTAGCTGTTACTAAGGGATGAAAGGAGCAGAGTGATTACTGAATAGAGTTGAAGAAGTTCCAAAGTAATAGAAGATGGTGTGATCATTGGAAAGTCAATTGACTTAAAGGATAAATATAAAAATATTGAGGCTAAACTTGTTCAAGATGTTGCCAATAATATAAAGGAAGAGGCCAGGGATGCACCATCACTGCCACTGTACTGTTGCCAATCCAGGGGAAATCAAGAGAGGTGTGATGTTAGCCCTAGATGCTGTAATTGTTCAACTTAAGAAGCAGTCTGAACCTGTAACACCCTCTGAAAGACATGTCTCAGGTTTCTACGATTTCTGCAAATTGAGACAACGATATTGGCAACATCATTTCTGATGCAATAAAAAAGTTTGGAAGTAAAAGCGTCATCACATAAAAGGATGGAAAAACACTGAAAGATGAATTGGGAATTACTGAAGGCCTTAAGTTTGATCAAGGTTCTATTTTCCCATGCTTTATATACGTCAAAAGGTCAGAGATGTGAATTCCAGGATACCTATATTCTATTTAACAAAAAGAAAATTTGTAGCATCCAGTTCGTTGTACTTGCCCTTGCAATTGCTGATGCTCACAGAAAGCCCTTGGTAATAATTACTGAAGATGATTATGGAGAAGCTCTAAGTACATTCATTTTGAATAGGCTGAAAGTTTGTCTTCAGATTATAGCAGTCAGAACCCCTGGCTTTGATGACAATAGAAAGAACCAGCTTAATGATATAGCTATTGCTACTGGTGGTTAAATATATGAAAGAGGCTAACAATAAATCTTCAGGATGTTCATCCTCATGACTTAGAAAAAGTTGGAGAGGTCATTCTGACTAAAGATGATGCCATACTCTTCAAAGGAAAAGGCAACAAGTCTTAAATTGAAAAATATATTCAGGAAGTAATTGAACAGTTAAATACCACAATTCATAAAAAGGAAAGCCAAAATGAGCATCTGGGGAAACTTTTAGATGGAATACCTGTACTGAAAGTTCATGGGACAGGTAATGTTAAAATGAATGAAAAGAAAGAGTTACAGGTACCTTTAATGCCAAATGAGCTGCTGTTGAAGAAGGCATTGTTCTAAGAGAGAGTTGCGCTCAAATTCAGTGTGTCCCATCCTTAGACTCACTAGCTTCAGCTAATGAAGATCGGTAAGTTGATGTAGACATTATTAAAAGAACACTCTGAATTCTTGCAATGATAAATTTTAAGAATGCAGGTGTTGAAAGATCATTAATAGTTTAAAAATGCAGAATTCCTCAGAAGTTGATTATGAGGCTATGTTTGGAGATTCTCCGAATGTGGTAGAGAAAAAAATTATTGATCTAGCTAAAGCTGTAAGACTGCTTTATCATGTGCTGCTGGGGTGGGCTACCAGCTAACTATAGCAGAAGTTGTAGTCATGGAAATTCCTAATGGATGGACCCTGGAATGGGAGGAATGGGTGGAGTGGGAGGACATATGAGAATTAGCATGTTCTAACCCTTAGACTGTTGGTTTGCCATTATTAATTAACCGATGAGAAGCTCAGGAAAGTGTCTGTCACAAATAGTTTCAGAGAAGTCATTGAAGAAAATGATTGAAGAAATGGCTGGCTGATGTTTAAGAAAATCACTGTAACCATCAGTTACCAGTTTCAGTGGATAACATAATAATGATTTGATGCCATCATCATCCAGATAACTTATTTTGTACTTTTGGACAAAAAGACATTTTTGCATTTTAGAAAAAATTTTAAAGGAGTAACAATAGTATGCTGTCCTTCGTGTAATAAAGGGGGAATGAGAAAGTATACATTCATCCACTCATCTCTTCAAAACAAATACCAGAAACAAATGAGATTTGTTATCAACATAGGGTGGCTGGGAATGGAAATGAAAGAATGTGAAAAGAATGATACTTCTTTCAGTATACTTTTCTGTAATACACTGCCCTTTATAACATTTCCTCCATAAAAACAACCAACCAGAATGTAGAGAGAAGCTAAAATGAAAAACAAATAATAACATATGAACCTAACTATATTACAAATAACTCCATGGTTATGTTGTTTATTTGTAATACAGTTAGGTTCATATGTTATTAGAGAAGAAAAGAACTTAGGTAATTTGGGAAAATATTATTTGATATTTTGATTGGTTACCATACCCAGATACGGTACACTAGTTAATAATTTTGTCTAAGTGTATTGGTTAGCAATTCTGTAACTACTTTATATGTATACCAACATTGAGCAAATAAGTAAAAATATTATGGATGATAAGGACCAGGTTTCCCACTGTTGGAGAGAGAAGTTGCAAATAAAAAAAAGAGGAAAGGCTAGAATAAGCACTCCTGTGTTGGGTTGAAATAAGAATGAGTTCATAGTTTTTAATATAGATATTTAATATAGACTTAATATTAATATTTAATATAGAGATTGAATTTTAGATGTTGAAGTAAATGTAGTAAATGAAGTAAATGTAGATGTGTAGATGTGTGTGTAAGTATCTACACATAATGTGGACATTCCAAGAACATTCCAGTAATGATGAACACACTTGGCATCCATTCTCCAATTAAAAAAGCCAGGGCTTCTTAGTAAAATGGCTGATTATATCTGAGGCAGGGAAAATATAAGATGATAAAGGACAATCTTGTGGTGTCAGAAAATAAGGAAATGCTTATGAAATGATTGGGAAAAGCATATGGAAAGGATTCAGGAGCTACAAATGAGTAGCTCTGGGACACCGTGAGTAAAAAAATTAAATAGTGGTCATAATGTGTTATTACCATAAAATAAAAATCAATGCCTATGAGCCCAAATTGATATAAGTAAATAAGTGAATAAATAAATAGATGGAGGAGAAGCTCCAGCTTTTCCATATGGTAAACTTCCAATGAATAATGTAGAAGGATGGAAGGGAAACAGAAAATCATCATTAGGTAAATATCACAGTCATAATTGCTGCAGGAAAGAATCATCAATGGATGCTAAAATTAATAGGTGAATGTATAATGAGAAACATAAATTTATATAGTCTCAAAGCATTTCTTCATAAAATGCCTTTTAATTATTAAAGGGAAAATAGTAACTTAACAGTGGAGAAACCTGGTGGACACCATCTTAACCACGTAATTGAAGGTAACACCACCAGTAATAAGACATACAGGCATGACATTCCTCCACACTGAGAAGGGTACAGCATCACTTCTGCGGTATTTCTGCCACATGCAAAAACATGAGACACCCAGGAGGAGGAGGTGGGAGGCAGACAGGAAGAGAGGGAAGAAAAAGGGATAGGTATTGGTGGAGGTTTGATACTACCACCTCCATTAAGATGTTGATAGTGAAGACAGGAAGATGTGGAGGCAGTACGTAGATTACAAGAAAAATTGTGAATCAACAGAATTTGAGGATCAGTATCAGATGAGAAACAATGGATTCTGAAGAGAGTAGAAGGAGGTTTAAGGAAGATACCCAGATTTGTGGGCTGATGTACAAGTGGTTGATCTTGCCTTGTATTAACAACAGGATAAATTGGAGGAGACAAAGTTTTAGGGATAATTATCCACTAATTTAAGATTCTCAATTCATCAGTACTGCAATCCCAAGCATGTAGCATATCCTTAGTGAAGTCTTTTATTATTTTATTTGTTTATTATTTCTTATTATATTATTAGGGTCAGATAATCAAATTATATCCACAGAGAAACTAGTTTTACCTTGATGAAATTCACATTTGCAGGCCAGCTTACCTTGCTGCGATACATGTCCTCGTGAGACCTGGGGTCAGGGTGTGAGAAGTTCTGTTCATTCTGGTTTAATCTCTGTAGTAAAAAGAAACACCTTTTCCTACTTCATAGGCTATCTCTTTGTAGATTAGTGATATGTAGGAAGCAGTAATGGCCTCAGGTATGTCATGGAAGAGACCCTTAAAATGAGTTCTGTTCTCACATTACATTGTCAGAAAAATCCCTGGCCCCTGAGCCACCACCACAGCAAGTATTCTATTTGAAATATAGAAAGAATTGCCACCAGTTTTCTCCTTTATTTTATATATAAATGTCAAAAAAAGAGACATGAGTATCTTAGATGTGAAATGTTAGGCATACATTTAGATATTTTCTGTTTGAAGTTTGGTAGATTTATTCAATATTAGTTTATATACAAAACATCTGGAGAAAGAGAATGGGCCTTGGACAAGCTAGTTGTGGGTTCAAATTTCAGTGCTGCCACTTAGCCAATAACAAGTCTGTGAACCCTAACAATAGGCATAAATTATTGAAGCCTCATTTCCCTAGAGTGTAAAAGGGAGTCAAAGACTTGACTAATAAAATTCATGGAAAATTAACTGAAATAGTTGCAAAACCAAGTATGGTATCCAGTATGTGTGTTTTCACAAAATGAATGGATGATATTTAGCAAATATTAAATACACAAATGGGTTATATTTTCATTTTTGTTTCCTACTATTTTATTAGGAAACAAAAACTAAATAAGGTAAGCCCTAGCAATAAAATCTCAGAATTATTTTTTTTCTTGGTGGAGCCATTAAGAAAAATTAATTAGTTAATTTGTTTGAAGATCGTAAATACCAAGGTAGTGAATCATTGCTAAAGCAAATATAATTATCATAAAAGTATACAATAATTTACAGATTAGGTGAATAAGTTTTAGCTATGTGGTAAGAAATATAATGTATTATTATTCACCTGATCTGGATCAAACCTAGTTGGGTTCCAAAGACAACATTTAAAAATATTTTTTAAAAATTATTCCTGGTGTATGATGTTCCCCTTCCTGTGTCCATGTGTTCTCATTGTTCAGTTCCCACCTATGAGTCGGGGGAGAGGGGAGGGATAGCATTAGGAGATATACCTAATGCTAAATGACGAGTTAATGGGTGCAGCACACCAACATGGCACATGTATACTTATGTAACAAACCTGCACGCTGTGCACATGTACCCTAAACCTTAAAGTATTATAATAATAAAATTTAAAAAAAGAAAAAAAATTATTCCTTCATATGATAGAACATACTGTGTCTGAGTTTGTTCAAATGTTTGCTCTGATTATAGAACTTGATTTATATGAATTCCATCTGTATACTCTCACCGGCGAAATAACCTGTAAATGAACCCAAGAGCGACTGATCTTTGAAAATAAAATACTCTCACATTGAACACTATCTCTTTGAGTGAAATTATGATGAAATTACATGAATGGTGACATAGGGAAGTGGAGAGGAGTTATTTCAGTTAAATCAACATTGATTAATCATGTTCCATGTCCAAGACATTATAAGTAATGTTGTGGCTACATCATTTTTAAAGTGTGGCACCTGTCCTTAATGTTGGGAATCAAGTAGGCCTTGAGGCTCAATTCCATTCTGGCTCAGGAATCTATCAAAATTATGATCTTGGGCAAGTTATTAAAACCTCTCTAACTTCCTCTTTCACCCTCTGGAAATGTGAATACCACAACACTTACTTTGTGAGAATTAAATGTAAAATATTGTTGAAAATAATTGGCAGGAAATAAATGTCTAAATATCTTTCTCTTTCTCTCTATGATAGAGTTTTTGAGAAGATTAAATTTAAAATCTTTAAATTTTGTATGTTTAAAATTTATGTATTTATGTATGTTAAAGGTTATTAATCATTATATAGATATATGAAATTGTTATTATAAATAAATATGTAAATAGGTACAGCTCACTGTAATTTATCTGGAAGGACAACCTCAACCAATGAATGCATATTTTGGCATTTGCTTTTTCATAGCCAAAATCTCATAGCAAGACAGTGGAAAACAGGATGGATTTTTCTCCATGGTAGAGAACTGATGTCCTTAGTTTAAATGAAACTGTGTAAAGCGAAGTCTCTGTGTATAAAAAGAGAAAGCTGTTGTTATATTAGTCAGATAGTGAGGATAAACTCAAGAAAAGTGAAAGGATCTATCTATATATAGATATAGATATATATATTCTTATTCATGCTTTGTCAGTCCTTTACTAATTTTTTATCTTACTTAGAATAATACCATATAAATGGAAAAGGGATAAGATAATGAAAAAGTTTCCCCAAATAAATGAAAATTGCAAAGGAAATTCAAATTTACTTTTCAAAGGGATTATTACAACATTTCAGCCTATCCTATTTTTTGTGCATAATTTTTAAAATTATGTTTCCTTGTTTCTTTTACCATGCTTAGTGAATCCGTTTCACATAGGTGTTTTGTTTTGTTTTGTTTTTGTTTTTGTTTTGCTTTGTTTTTGTTTTTTTTAATATAGAGAAAGCTTTAAGTAAATTGCCCATAAATAAATCATTGCAGCCCAGATTTAAAAGTACATTTGGCCTTAGGCCATTCCTCATAACTAGTGAAAGCTCAAAAGTATGAGCCCAATGTGGAAAAAAAAGAAAAAAAATATAAAGAGCTCAGCAAAAAGGATTTAATAAAGGGAAACCACATATTTAATTTAAATATCTCATACAAAGGCTGCATATTACCCAATGCTTTTAATACATGATGAGATATTGAATATCATAATGGAGATATAAAAATCTGCATTTATCTTTAGAACTCTAAACAAAACTCTTCTATTAAGTCATGGTAGGTTGATATTGCAGTATAATATAAAAAATAATAATTCTGAATACAGGCCAGGCACAGTGACTCACTCCTGTAATTCCAGCAATTTGAGAGGGTTAGGCAGGTGGATCACTTGAGGTCAGGAGATCAAGACCAGCCTAGCCAACATGGTGAAACGCTGTCTCTACTAAAAATACAAAAATTAGCTGGGCGTCGTGGTGCCTGCTTTTAATCCCAGCTACGTAGGACGCTGAGGCAGGAAATGACTTGAACCTGAGAGGTGGAGGCTGCAGTGAGCTGAGATTGCACCACTGCACCCCAGCCAGGAAGACAGATTGAACTGCATCTCAAAAAAAAAAAAATTCTGAAATTCTGAATACATTTATTTCTGCACATATGGACACATACTCAAAGGAAATTTATAAAATGAAATTACTTGTCAAAATGATGGAATTATGGGATCTTTTCCAGATTTTTCTTTAATGCTTTTACAGATAAAAGCAATGCTTAATTTAGAGAAACACTATCATGCATTATACATTCCAATTTTACCTGAAAGTTTTTGCCCTTTCCTGTGTGATTTGTGGGGATAAAAGCTTTCAATCAATTTTCAACTACAAGCTTTTCTACCTTGTACAAGAAAGTTTTTAATTTGGGATTGTTGTTAAATTACTTCAGGAACATAGTTCAGAAATTATTAATTAATATATGCTAATTAACAGCACAAATATTTTAAAGATGCACAAATAGGTCCAGAATGGAAATTTTAAAGTAGCTTGAGGCCATTGAAGTAACAAAAGGACAATTCAAAAATAATTAACAACAGACCCAGAGGACCAGTAGTGGGTACAGCTGCAAGGAAACACTTCTGTGTGTGCTGGCAGACTGTAGACCTTCAGCGGCTCTTCAGTGAGTACAGCTGTGCTCAGCTAATTTTGTTTGTTACCACAATAATCTAGAAACTACTAAACTTAGAGACGCTTTGAGGCAGGATCTATAGGATTTAGGTTTTACAAAATATATTGGGGGCTTGTAGGTGAGAATTGTGGGATTTATGCCTCAACTTCCACATTTATATTTATGGAAATATTATTTAGAGACTGCTTTGAGATATAAAATTAATGGTTTTGCTTCTCAAAACTTGATGATGTCAAGACTGTTTAGTAATTTTTAAACTAAAATATTATAAAAATTAACCAGAAATATTTTAAATTTTGAAAAACAAAAAAAAAAATCAATATATATAATTGAAACTCAAAGTTACTAGTGCAATTTTCATGTGAAAAAATTCTGCTAGAGAGTATGTATCATCAAATCACACTGTTTTAAATTTCTTAATATTTTAACAATCTGATATCACTTTGAGATAATTTGGTTGAATGCTTCCCTACAATAAATAAGTGAATAAGTCTCCATCATAAAATGATATATCCATTCTGTCTGAAAGTAACTATGACCTCAACGAACAGTTGATTTTGTTGCCTAAATATTATCATGCTTAAGACTTGAGTATACTTTATTATAAAACATCAATTATCTTACAAAATGTAATGGATTCATTTCTAGTAAAATCATCTTAGGAGATATATTTTCAAATAATTATATTATTCAGATTCACCAAGACCCTATATTGCTGAAACGAGACAGGCCAATAAAGATATTTATTAAATTATGATGACAACATCTGTTTTAGAAATGTAAATTAATTATACTGAACAGAATAATTATTTGATCTTTAGCCGTTTTAGGTCTTCAGTTGGGACAGACCCAGAAGAGTGTGTGTGTGTGTTCGTGTGTGTGTGTGTTCTGGCTGTTTCTGCAGGTGTCTCTGAGAGACTTCGATTAGTAAAGGGTCTAGGTTAGGTTCACTAATGTCCACAAAAGGATGACAGTCAAACCATCAGCTTTTCTGGTCTCCAGTGTAAGAGCTTCACCTTCAACCAGTAACTGTGAATCTACAGTCAAGGCCAGACTTGATGGCAATAACAATCACAATTGATTGCAACAAAATCATCATTTTAAAAATCTGAAAAAAACAGCGATTATATCTTATGGAGAATTTCTAAAAGTGGACTTTCAAATCAGTGTAAATCAGCGTAGTCAATAAACAGCAATCACTTATTTGCTACATGTTACCTTAGCATTCTGAGGAGTTGCCAATCATGACAATGGTCATAATCAAAAGATGCTGTAACCATACTATTACATCTTTTCATTACACTTGCTGAAGGCACGTTGTTGAGGACATTTTCTATTATATGACTACCTTCCCTATATTAAGTCTTATGTTTGAAACATCTTTTAGAATTTAGTACTAGAGATATATCTTTAACCTCCAACCAGGACCTGTTATGCTTAATCCCCACTGAAAATAAAATTATGTAACTGTCTATGTTTCCCTTTTTGTTTTGATGACCAAGAAGCCTACAGATAGATGTTGCTCTCTCATTAATAGTCAAATGATTAGTACAAGAAGTCAGACCAGGAAGAGGTCATTAATATCAATACAAAAGATTAAGAAAGGCTACAGAAAATACCAAATTTGAGCCAGTTTTTAGATAATAGAATATATTTGTGTATTAGACGAGCAAAAAGGATTTTAAAGAATGTAATTCTGTACTAGTTAGAATAGGCTAAGCTGCAGTAACAAAATGACCCAAAGAATTAAGGATGATTAAAGGAGAAGTCATAACTCTACAGTGGGTTTTCAATTCAATGGGGTTGGGGTTTCTCTCCACTTTGTCTTAAGGGACCCAGGGTCCCTTCATCTCGTGGCGCTACCATCCTTTAAAGCATCCATGTCATCTGCCTTCGGCTAACAGGAAAACAAGTACAAAGTACACACTGTAGGTGAAATGTGTCAGGCCTGAAAATGGCCCACGTTATTTCTACTCAATGCCCAACGGGAAAGACTTAATCACTCAGCTGCAACTAATTGCAAGTGAGGCCCAGGAAGAAGAGGAAAGTAGACATACAGGGCTCTGTTACAAACATTAAAAATAACAAACTAAAATGCAATTAGCCTTGGCATAGTAAAAAGCATAATTTTATATTAGACATGACTGTAATTTCCCTAAAAGTTTAAAAGTTTCTTATCCACTGCAACCAACCCTTTTTTCACATATGCAAGAACTTATCTATAAACACATACAGAGGTTTTGGAATGAATTGAAGGATCCCAGATTGACAAGAAACCATTATATCTTGTGGAACACATTTTAGCTACTATTAAATGTAAATTTTGCAATAACACAGAAGAAAGAAATAAAACAGCTCCTATTTACATAGTAAAGTAATATACTTACTTCTAGCTTATTTGATAATGTATATAATTCAAATTACTTTTAGTTGTTTTATTTATAACTGTATTCTCAAGTTCCTTAATTTGAACAATTTTAAATGATAATACAGTGGTTAAAATGGAATGAAAAATTTAGTTTCCTAAAATAAAATGTATCACAATCACTGAAAACCTAAATTATCTAAGTTGTAACACAGTGTGCTGTCCTATTTCTGATAACTCTGGTTAGAAAGCAATTGGTGGACAGTTTTGCAGAGACTCCTAAGCTACACATCATCACTGTACAGAAAACTCTATACATCATTAACAACGTATCAATGCAAGCAATATAATTCCCTAGAGAAGAATAGTTTGCACTTAACATCAATTTAACCATTTTCTCTAGACACATCCTATTATGAAGTTTCATAACTCAGCAGAAACATCGGTATGTAGCAGGGGGCAAACATTATGTAAAAGTGGGGAATGATCAAAAACTTCACTCTCAGATGGACTCTAATCTTTAACTAGAGAATATACTATATTATAATTTAAATTACCTCGATGCCTTACTTTTAGAAGAGCAAATTGTTCTCACGTTTTACAACTTGATAGGCAGTTGCTCTAATCCATAAAAAAAGAAAAAAGGAGAAACTGAGTCTTTGCCTTTTCTTACTCTCTGCAATCCTTATTATTCAGTGTTACATGGAGGTTTATCTTAGCAAAGTCCTCCGTGATAACTTATTCATTAATCTTCAGAATATCCCAAACAAGTGAATATTTTCCCCTTATGTTGAAAATGAGGTTAACATTATCTTCATCTCCATAGAATGAGTCACTAGAAAAGGTGGATTGGAGCTAAGAATTCCTGAAATCCCAGTCCAAGCATGTCCAGTTTCATAAACCACCTTTTAAAATTCATTCTTTCATTTCAGAGCATGGCAAGCTCCATACCAGCTAATTTTTCTCTGTGACTATAAATATACCATATTTGCCCTAAAAGCATAAAAAGAAAAAAAAAATCTTAATGGGAATTCTGCTCCTACCTAAGCCACTCTAGCAGTTATTTTCTTAGCAAACTCTTAATTATACGCCCTTAGACAACAAGAAATAAAGCTAAATCTCACTATCTCTCCAAAAGCAAGATTCTGTCTCAGTGAGACTCTTTAATTAATCCCATGATATATGTTTCTGAATTTCTAAAAAGACATTCTTACAAGTTTTTTTTTTCTTGGAAGGGAGGAATAGTCATTCCAGGGGAGAGAAGTACAAATTCCAATGGTAATAAATTTTCCCAACTTTCAAGTCGTCTTGCAATGACTTACAACAAAGAAAAGACATAACATAGAGTTAAACGAAGATTTTTAAGTACAGCCTTTGTTCTCTCTTTTTTCTTTTTTTTTATTTATTATTATTATACTTTAAGTTTTAGGGTACATGTGCACAATGTGCAGGTTAGTTACATATGTATACATGTGTCATGCTGGTGCGCTGCACCCACTAACTCGTCATCTAGCATTAGGTATATCTCCCAATGCTATCCCTCCCCCCTCCCCCCACCCCACAACAGTCCCCATGGAATACTATGCAGCCATAAAAAATGATGAGTTCATGCCCTTTGTAGGGACATGGATGAAATTGGAAATCATCATTCTCAGTAAACTATGCAAGAACAAAAAACCAAACACCGCATATTCTCACTCATAGGTGGGAACTGAACAATGAGGCTTTGTTCTCTTGAAAAAAGAAATGGATCATTGGTTGGCTAACAGTGCTCTAAAATTAAAACCAAAATTATTTACTATGGCTCACCTCAAACATAAGCCCAGAATATGGAAAAAGTAAACACTGAGTCTTAAAATATTTAAGGCTAGAACAACCTATGAAGCCAATGTATAGAATTAGGTGTGGTCACACAAGTATATAGACTACATGTGTAGCACTGACTGAGGATCAGCCAATTAAGCTCTTCCAAGCTTTCATTAGTGTAATTATTTTAAGGGGGCATGTTTAGATCCTTGGTTTAATTCACAGATGACTGATGCCTGTAATGGAGAGTGAGGCTCCAGACAAAGGTACCAATATTATCGTACCATAAGCACAATCTCCTCCCACCTCAGCTGTTGTGATGCTTTGCGTAAAGCAAATGTCAACAAATTTGATTCACTGGATGAATAAATGGATGGATATTTGAGGGAGGTGGAGAAGCATTCAAAGACCTTAAAACCCATATAAATTACAACAGAAAACGATTGCTGTCTCATGATACTACAAATAGAAAAGAATGAGGAAACTAATTTCAGTCCACTGTAGGTGGAACAATTACCTAACACATGCATTGGGTTCATGGTGGTAATGGTGGTGTCTCGACCTAGTTAAGGAACACCTCCTAAAAGGAGCTACTTGAAGGCCAAAGTTTACTGTTAATGTGGATACTCACGGAAGGAGAGGGAATGCACGCATGATTTTCCATTCCACTGCTCCCTTGGCAGCTCATTCCTTTGAGCTACCAGAGTATTGAAATGGAAAAGATTTGTGCTTGCTGAGGCTCCTTGAGCAGGATTCTTGTCAATTCCAATCAGCTGCTTACTTAGGAGTTTGGAACAAGCCAGGGGAAACAAGGTAGGGAGTCAGGCATGAATGAGCTTACATCAGAGTTATGCCGTGGAGCTCCAGATCTGAGGCATTAACACGAAGCACTTATTCTTAAAAAGCTGATCTCTCTCTCTTGTTTTTTTTAAATTTAAAAGGAAGGTGACTGCTGACATTTTAACTATACAGTGTTGATTTCTAGAATGGACAATCTGAGCTTCTTCAGGCATTCGTACCTGATCTTAGCACTCAATTTTTAAATTGAGAGTTCGGTAAGTGCTACAAAGAGTTCTATTTTTCACTCTAAAGACAGGGACAACTCAATAGGGTTCCCCATTTTCCCAATCACTCATTGTGTTTGCTGGACAGAATTGTGATTGGCATTAGGAACTATCGGAGCGATTAGGTAAACATAAAGTTGTCCCACGAGCGGCTGGCTATGTTTTGGGAGATTAAGATTCCCGATCATTGGTGGACATTCCTCTCATCAAATTAGTAATCTTTCTTTGTGCATATGTCTGCTTTAAATTTTCTGAATATTAGAAACAGGTCATTGGAGAAATCTGAGCTGACAAAATGCGTGTATAATTAAGAGCCACTTAGAGCAGCGGCTGAGCTTATGTAGTCCAGGATATGACACAGCAGGCAGCAGGACCCTACAGTCACTCAAAGCAGAGCTTGGTTTTTAAATAAACATGTATGCTCAGTTCATTCTGAAAACTAATGACTCTGAAGCCTCATGACTCATGGGGCTTTTCTCCGTGAAGTCCCTGAGTAAAGGGACATAAGTACATACTATAAAGGTGGAGGTCAGCTTTTTCTTTACCAGTGACTCAGATGCGTTCAGGCTCTATAGGGAAAGTCAATGATTGGGAAAAAAAAAAAAGCCTGAGTTGGCATGAAAATTTTTCCCAAAAATGGCGACTGAAATTACAAATGTGGTGAGTTTCCTTTTCTATACTGTATTTTTCACAGCAACTAACACTCTTACAGATCACATTTGCTCACATTACTGTAAAATATCCTGCCAATTGGTCTTTCACTCAGCCTATTTCATCATAAGATCCCTCAGCAGTAGTACTAATTATTGTATTTTAATTTTTAATGTATTGCAAAATGTATTCACTTGCCATCTGTGAAAAGTACCTCTTCTGCTTGTCTGCATTCAAGGGGTAAAAATGTGTCAATATGCCAACTTTGATCTCTAAACCAGTATTTTTTTTTTTTAGCCAAAAGTACTTTCCTAAAAATAAGAAGCTACCATTTTTAAATTGTGAATTTCCTCATAAAATTTCATGTTTTTTTTCTGGCTTTTCCCAGAACATGTAAGATGCAACTTTGCTGGGCCCACGTGTCTACATAGCAATCACTGGCAGAGCAGCAGCAAACAGCCTCAGACAGCCAAGCAGTTTGCAGCCTGCCAGGAGCTGTGCCACCCTTCATCATTGCTGAACTGTGGTTTTATGTATACAAGGAGACTTAAAACAAAATGGAAATCTTTCTTGTATCTGTGATTCTATCCAAACCGAGAAAAGAAAATATGTGGCCTATGAAATGATGGGTTTCTCAAAAGATGTGAAAATGTATATTTCTTGGTAGAAATGAAGAATGTATAAACAAAATATGTCCATAGCTAAAAAGCGCAATTTATGATGCCATTAAGGACCAACCAGTGTAAGAAAGGGCTAGTTCTTGACTTTACAGTCAAATTGCTTCAGTCATTCACTTTATTTGCTTGATCCCTTAGACGTTTATGTTATAAATTAGTGCATTAATACACGTCTTGCTTCCTTCATTGTCAAATGGCCATCCACATTTATAAGGAGTGTGCAAATGGGTTGAGTAGATAAATCTCCAACCTGTCATATCACAGAGAAACTGCAGGATTGTGCAGCATCACAGATTCAGGCTGCAGACCAATTGGCTGCTCATTCGGAATAGTGTCCCCCAGTCCCCCTAGGTATAGCAGGAATAATTAATATTTTGAGATTATTTGATTTAAGCTATTCAATACCCCATGGCCCCCAGACTTTATCTAATGTTTTAATAGAAAGGCTGTTGGTTCCCAGAAGTCAAGTGGGAATGGGGCTGCCTAACTTGATGAATATATGCTCATGGACAGTGTTAAGTGGTTTTGGGTCCTTCTTCCTGGGATCAGAGCCTTGTTCCTATATTGTGGCTTGCTCCCTATTTTTCATCTAGCTGGTCACACCATGATTTGGGCCCTATGTTTTGGGGTTTTTAATATCTACGCAATCTCTTTTGCTAATTAAAGAATCTTGAGAGATTCATTGCAAAAATAACTATTTTAGGAACGGATCACTAAGGAGGTGGAAAGATTTTGAAGAGGGATAATATTTCAGTTTTTCTGTTATTGGCTTAAGTTTATTTCCGAGTAGCACTTAAGACCCGAGAATGCCCCTCCCCTTCCTGTTCTCCTCTGCTTGAATTTTCATTTCCCTTTCACCTGTCTCCTCCATTCTCACAGACTGGCTGGGGAAATAATGAGATTCAAGGATTCTTACAGTTTAATTTTAATTATTACCATAACATTCAGGAATATGTTTTGTTGTTTACAAAAATGATCTCTGAGCCTGGACTCAAACAAACATACTAAAGGATATTCTATAATTGGATTTGTTTCATTGATTTTACATATATTAATAGTGCAAAGCACTGTACAAATGCCAAAGAGAGATTCCTGCCAAAGATCCTGCCCTAGCAGGGTTTGCAACCAAACAGAACAGAAAAACTTAATTAAACAAGCAATTACACAAATTACTTGTGCAATTATTAATCCTGAACTTTATATTATCTCCCTTCTGCGTGGAACATTCTTCCCTCAGCTATTCCCACAGCAGGGTAAATCTCATCCTCCCAGTCATCAATATTGGGCATGAGGAGCTTCCATGGCCTGTGATTGGACAGCAATTGGTCTTAGCTCAAAGACTGTTTGCTTTTTGTAGAAAAACCAGGCATTATCTTCCTGCACTCAAAATAAGGCTTAATTTTTTCTTGACTATAATGGTAGTAAATGTCAATTGCAGTAAATCTAACGCAAGCTGGAAATTATAAAAGAATATATATAAATCATATGTATACTTGTTCTCAGAAATAGCTATTCTTGATATCTTAAAACATGTTCTCTGTTCTCTTTCCTAATTTGAAATCATGTTTTATATGTAACTATGAAATTGTGAAACCTTTCCATAGTTAAAAATCAGATGGTGCTAATTTCCCTCTACTGCTATATTATTGAGGTAAGAATATTTCTGTATACAGACAGTCCCTGACTTTTTGTGGTTGGACTTAACCATTCTTCCACTTTATGATGGGTTTATCAGGGTATTAATTTCATTTTCAACTTATGATGTTTGTGAATTATGATAAGCTTATTGTTATGTAGGCTCATTGTAAGTTGAGGAGCATCTGGACTTACAGTGGTACAACTCAACATTTTTCAGTCTTACAATGGGGTTATTGGAGTAGTAAGTGCATTTTCAACTTATGATTTGTTCTACTTATAATCGGTTTGTGGAGACATAACCCAATTGTAAGTAGAGAAGCATCTGTACTAGGCTTTTAGAATCATTTACCAGAAGTTACCTGATAAAAAATTTAGGACTCCGCATAGGTAGTCATAAATTTGTTCCTTAAAGGTTGTACCAATTCATGTTTTTATCAATAGTGAGCAAAAGTTCCCATCTCATCATAACTTTACTGATACTACTATTTCTTTAATACCTTCTCTACTTTCTAAGGTTAAAATGGTAAAATTTAATGTGCTTTTCTGCAATTATATTTTAGTTTTGTTATACATGTATATACATATAATGGTATATGTATTTTATTAAGATGTAAATATACTCCATGTCCATTGTATTACATACATAAAATAAGTAAAAATTTAGATAAATATTTAAGATTTAATCTCTTCCACCAAATTTACATAGTCTAGGCATTTTTACAGTGAAATAATATTATCGCCAAACTAATAATCGCATACTAAAGATTTGTGACGTCTGTAAGTTGACTTAAGTGAATATTTTTTCTTTTAAATGATTTTTACTTAACTAAATATTTGAACTTTTAGTGATAATGAAAATCAGTTTTAGTGATCCCACAATTAATTCTAGGAAGAACACAACTGGACCTTGGGACTTGCCGATGGGTAAAGTTGAAGAAGTAGACCGCTGGCTAAAAAGGAAAGGGGGAAAAAACCCTCCTAATTACATACAAACATCTCAGCAGTGAGCAATCAATGAGAAAGGAAATGCTGGAAAAGTACTTGACATTTAAATGTCAATTTAATCAAATTACGCAATTTTAAAATGTAGCTGAGTGTAATGGGCTCTTTAAATTCTTTAAAACATTATTTTATTTAAAATGGTCCAGAGATTGAGCATTTAGCTGCCTTGAACTGTCGTTTGAACCAATATCCTTAAATAATAACTTACTGAATTAGGTCATTACACTTTTAAAATAAAAATATAAATTTTATGGTTTTTTTCCAGAATAAAATATATCAGCATATCTGATGTAAAATAACGATTGGTCAGCATTTATGGCAATTCAATGAGATAATGTTGGAAAGGACAAATTGGAGAGTTAGGATGTCTAAATTCTAGGAAGGAAAAAATTCAGACAAACATAATATAGGATTCTTACTTCCCTACTAATTTATTTCCCTTAATTTTGGCATGAATTAGTCTTAACCTCAGCTTCCTCGTCATCCTTGATCTAGACCATTCACTGGAGAGAGAACTAATCATTGCTCGCTTCAACTTCCTAATATATCAAATTTGTGTGCATGTGTAACTATGAACAGTAAGTAGAAAGTGATGAGAACAAGATACCCAGGGAAGTAATTGATTCAGTTTGGTCCTAAGGCTCAATAAAACTTGACCTCTGAATTTATAATGAACTCAATGCAGCGTCACCAACAACAAAACAAATAATGGACATTTTTCAAAAGAAGACATACAAATAGCCAACAAACATGAAAAAATGCTCAACATCACTAATAATTAGAGAAATGCAAGTTAAAATTGCAGTGAAATATCATCTGACACCAGTCAAAATGACTACTATTAAAAAGTCAGAAAATAACAGATGTTGGGAAGGATGCAGAGAAAAGGGAATGCTCATACAGTGTTGGTGGGAATGTAAATTCATATGACGTCTATAGAGAACAGTATGGAGATTCCCAAAGAACTAAAACCAGAACTACCGTTCAATCTAGCAATCCCACTACTGGATATTTACCCAATAAACATACAAGTGCAGTTGTCTTTTTTATATCATTATATAAATGATATGCACTAATAAGTTTATTGCAGTGATATTTACCATGGCAAAGATAGGGACAGAATCAATAACCTAAGTGTCCATAAAAGGACAATTAGATAAATAAAATGTGACATATATATATACATAGATAGATAGATAGATGGATACACACACACCATTATATATACACACACACACACACACATATATATATGTGCACACAAACACACACACATTGGAATACTATTCAGCCATGATAAAGAATGAAATCAATGAAATCACATCTTTCACAGCAATATGGATGGAAGTGGAGACCATTATCTGAACTCAAACAACTCAGAAACAGAAAATCAAATACTACATGCTCTCACTTATAAGTGGGAGCTAAATAGTGTGTATACATGGACATAGAGCATGAAATGATAGACACTGGTGATTTGAAAGGGTTGGGGGGCAGTAGGGGATGGTGATAAGAAATTACTTAATGAATGCAGTGTACATTATTTGAGTGAAGAATACACTAAAAGCCAAGACCATCACTCTGCAATATATCCCTGCAACAAAATTGTACTTATAGCCCTTAAATTTATAAATTTTTTTTAAAAAGCTGAGCTTTGAGCCTAAACACTAATAATGTGTCATATATTTTTCTCTTCTGGGTTGACAAATATAATTTTTATGTTGTTGAGGGAAAAAAACATTGTTTGATTACATTGTTGTTACCAAAATAATGAAGAGGTTGTCTATATGTTCAATTAAGAGCACCAAATTTAGAAATCAATGTTTGCATTTGAATCTCATCTCTACTACTTAGTCCTGTGAGCTTGAGCAAATCTTAATCTCTCTGAGCTTTAGTTTCTTCATTTATAAAATGAGGATAATCAATACTTTATAGGATTTGTATGAGGATTCATTCATATCCTGTTAAATATGATAATATATGTAGAATAATTAAATATATAGAATAATTCAAGCATTGAAACAGTTTAAGCATGCAATATTAGCTATTTCTCATCATCTGTATTCTTAGTAGCAAGCAACAAAATCTAATTCTGGCTCACTGAGTCAAAAATAAATTTATTAAAAAGTTCTAAGTATTCTCAGAATATTCTGGAGGACTAGATAACTAAATCTAGGACAAAAAGACATGAACATTGCACAAATTCACAACACAAACGTGAATGGCAAGTGAGGACACTCATGCCATTGCCTGGTTTCAGCCTTGCACATAGCATACAGACTCTCCCACCTGGAATTCACTGGAGCTAATACCTGATTATAGCCATAGAGGGCACCTATAATCATAGGTGTCAGAAACCTCATCATGTGTCGAAACCACATGATTTATTTGCAGGGGGGAAACTAATATAAAGAATCATTAATTAAAAGAAGGAGATTGGAAAGCAGGGGCAAGATGGCTGAATAGGAACAGCTCTGGTCTGCAGCTCCCAGTGAGACCAACACAGAAAGAGGGTGATTTCTGCATTTGCAACTGAGGAAACCGGTTCATCTCATTGGGACTAATTAGACAGTGAGTGCAGCCCATGGAGAGCAAGCTGAAGCAGGATGAGGCATCACCTCACCCGGGAAGCACAAGGGTCGGGCAACTCCCTCCCCTAGCCAAGAGAAGCCATGAGGGATCGTGCTGTGAGGGATGGTGCTATCTGGCCAAGATACTATGCTTTGCCCATGGTCTTTGCAACCCACAAACCAGGAGATTCCCTCGGGTGCCTACACTACATGGTCCCTGGGTTTCAAGCACAAAACAGGGTGGCTCTTTGGGCAGACACTGAGCTAGCTGCAGGAGTTTTTTTTCATACCCCAGTGGCACCTGCAATGCCATTGAGACAGAACCGTTCACTCCCCTGGAAAGGCTGAAGCCAGGGAGCCAAGTGGTCTTGCTCAGCGGATCCTACCTCCATAGAGCCCAGCAAGCTAAGATCCACTGGCTTGAAATTCTCACTGCTAGCACAGCAGTCTAAAGTAGACTTGGGATGCTCGAGCTTGGTGGGGAGAGGGGCGTCCACTATTACTGAGGCTTGAGTAGGTGGTTTTCCCCTCATAGTATAAACAAACCCTCTGGGAAGTACAAACTGAGTGGAGCCCACCGCAGCACCTCAAAGCCACAGTAGCCAGAGTGCGTCTCTAGATTCCTCCTCTCTGGGCAAGGCATCTCTGAAAGAAAGGCAGAAGCCCCAGTCAGGAGCTTATAGATAAAACTCTCATCTCCTTCGCACAGGGCACCTGGGGGGAGGGGCAGCTGTGGGTGCACCTTCAGCAAACTTAAATGTTCCCACCTGCCAGCTCTGAAGAGAGCAGCAGATCTCCCAGCACAGCACTAGAGCTCTGCTAAGGGACAGACTTCTTCCTCAAGTGGGTCCCTGAACCTGATGTGGAGACACCTCCCAGCAGGGGTCAACAGACACCTCATACAGGAGAGCTCTGGCTGGCATCTGGTGGGTCCCCCTCTGGAACGAAGCTTCCAGAGGAAGGAGCAGGCAGCAATCTTTGCTGTTCTGCAGCCTCCACTGGTGATACCCAAGCAAACAGGGTCTGGAATGGACCCCCAGCAATCTCCAGCAGACCTGCAGAAGTGGGACCTGACTGTTAGAAGGAAAACTAAAAAACAGAAAGCAATAGTATCAACATTAAAAAAAAGGACAACCAAGCAAAAACTCCATCCAAAGGTCACCAACAGCAAAGACCAAAGGTAGATAAATCCACAAAGATGAGGAAAAACCATTGCAAAAAGGCTTAAAATGCCAAAAACTACAATGCCTCTTCTCCTCCGAAGAAACACAACTCCTCGCCAGCAAGGAAACATAACTGGACAGAGAATGAGTTTGACAAATTGACAGAAGTAGGCTTTAGAAGGTGGGTAATAACAAACTCCTTCAAGCTAAAGGAGCATGTTATAACCCAATGGAAGGAAGCTAAGAACTTGGAAAAAAGGTTAGAGGAATTGCTGACTAGAATAACCAGTATAGAGAAGAAGATAAATGACCTGATGGAGCTGAAAAACACAGCACAAGAACTTCATGAAGCATACACAGGATCAATAGCAGAATCCATCAAGCGGAAGAAAGGATATCAGAGATTGAAGATAAACTTAATTAAATAAAGCATGAAGACAAGATTAGAGAAAAAAGGATGAAAAGGAATGAACAAAACCTCAAGAAATATGGGACTATGTGAAAAGACTATGTCTGATTGGTGTACCTGAAAGTGACGGGAGAATGGAACCAAGTTGGAAAACACTGTTCAGAATATTATCCAGGAGAAATTCCCCAACATAGCAAGACAGGCCAACATTCAAATTCAGGAAATACAGAGAACACCACAAAGATACTCCTTGAGAAGAGCAACCCCAAGACATAATCATCAGATTCACCAAGGTTGAAATGAAGGAAAAAATGTTAAGGGCAGCCAGAGAGATAAAGCAGGTCGCCCACAAAGGGAAGCCCATCAGACTAACAGCAGATCTCTACGCAGAAACCCTGCAAGCCACAAGAGAGTGGGGGCCAATATTCAACATTCCTAAAGAAAAAAATTTTCAACCCAGAATTTCATATCCAGCCAAACTAAGCTTCTTAAGTGAAGGCGAAATAAAATCCTTTACAGACAAGCAAATGCTGAGGGATTTTGTCACCACCAGGCCTGCCTTACAAGAGCTCCTGAAGGAAGCACTAAATATGGAAAGGAAAAACCAGTACCAGCCACTGCAAAAACAAACCAAAATGTAAAAACAGTCGACACTATGAAGGAACAGCATCAACTAATGGGCAAAATAACGAGCTAGCATCATAATGACAGGATCCAATTCACACATAACAACGTTAACCTTTAATGTAAATGGGCTAAATGCCCCAATTAAAAGGCCCAGACTGGCAAACTGGATAGAATCAAGACCTATCAGTGTGCTGTATTCAGGAGACCCATGTCATGTGCAAAGACACACATAGGCTCAAAATAAAGGGATGCAGGAATATGTACCAAGTAAATGGAAAGCAAAAGAAGCAGGGGTTGCAATCCTATTCTCTGATAAAACATATTTTAAACCAACAAAGATCAAAAAAGACAAAGAAGGGCATTACATAATGGTAAAGGGATCAATGCAACAAGAAGAGCTAATTATTCTAAATATATATGCACCCAATACAGAAGCATCCAGATTCATAAAACAAGTTCTTAGATTCCCACACAATAATAGTGGGAGACTTTAACACCCCACTGTCAATATTAGATAGATGAACAAGACAGAAAATTAACAAGGATATTCAGGACTTGAACTCAGCTCTGGACCAAGCAGATCTAATAGACATCTACAGAACTCTCCACCCCAAAGCAATAGAATATACATTCTTCTAAGCACCACATAGCACTTATTCTAAAATTGACCGTATAATTGGAAGTAAAACACTCCTCAGCAAATGCAAAATAACAGAAATTATAACAAACAGTCTCAGACTGCAGTGCAATCAAATTAGAACTCAGGATTAAGAAACTCGCTCAAAACCTCACAACTACATGGAAACTGAATAACCTGCTCCTGAATCACTGCTGGATAAATAACGAAATTAAGGCAGAAATAAATAAGTTCCTTGAAACTAATGATAACAAAGACACAACATACCAAAATCTCTGGGACACAGCTAAAGCAGTGTTTAGAGGAAAATTTATAGCACTAAAATGGCCACAGGAGAAAGTGGGAAAGATCTAAAATCCACACTCTAACATCACAATTAGAAGAACTAGAGAAGCAAGAGCAAACAAATTCAAAAGCTAGCAGAAGACAAGAAATAACTAAGATCAGAGCTGAACCTTAGGAGATAGAGACACGAAAAACACTTCAAAAAATCAGTGAATCTGGGAGCTAGTTTTTTGAAAAGACTAACAAAATTGATATACTGCTAGTCAAACTAATAAAAAAGAAAAGAGAGAAGAATCAAATAAATGCAATAAAAATGATAAAGGGGAGATTACCACTCATTCCACAGAAATACAAACTGCTATCAGAGAATACTATAAACACACCTATGCAAATAAACTAGAAAATCTAGGGGAAATGGATAAATTACTGAATATATACACCCTCCCAAGACTAAACCAGGAAGAAGTTGAATCCCTGAATAAACCAACAACAAGTTCTGAAATTGAGGCAGTAATTAATAGCCTACAAAGCCCAAAAATGCCCAGGACCAGACAGATTCAGACCCAATTTCTACCAGAGGTACAAAGGGGAGCTGGTGCCATTTCTTCTGAAACTATTCCAAACAATAGAAAAAGAAGGACTCCTTCCTCCCTAACTCATTTTATGAGGTCAACATCATCCAGATACCAAAACCTGGCAGAGACACAACAAAAAAAGAAAATTTCAGGCCAATATACCTGATGAACATCAATGCAAAAATCCTCAATAAGATACTGGCAAACTGAATCAAGCAGCACATTAAAAAGCTTATCCACCTGGATCAAGTGGGCTTTGTCCCTGGGATACGAGGCTGGTTCAACATACACAAATCAATTAACGTAAGCCATCACATAAACAGAACCAATATCAAAAACCACATGATTATCTCAATAGATGCAGAAAAGGCCTTCAATGAAATTCAACACCTCTTCATGCTAAAAACACTCAATAAACTAGGAACTGATTGAACATATCTGAAAATAATAAGAACATGTCTGAAAATAATAAGAGCTATTTATGACAAACCCACAGCCAATATCATACTGAGTGGGCAAAAGCTGGAAGCATTCCCTTAGAAAACCGGCACAAGACGAGGATGCCCTCTCTCACCACTCCTTTTCAACATAGTATTGGAAGTTCTGGCCAGGGCAATCAGGCAAGAGAAAGAAATAAAGCGTATTCAAATAGGAAGAGAGGAAGTCAATTCATCTCTGTTTGCAGATGACATGATTGTATATTTAGAAAACCCCATCGTCTCAGCCCAAAATCTCCTTAAGCTGATAAGCAACTTCAGCAAAGTCTCAGGATACAAAATCAATGTGCAAAAATCAAAGCATTCATATACACCAATAATAGACAAACAGTGAGCCAAATAATGAGCTAACTCCCATTCACAATTGCTACAAAGAGAATGAAATACCTAGGAATACAACTTCAAGGGATGTGAAGAATCTCTTCTAGGAGAACTACAAACCACTGCTCAAGGAAATAAGAGAGGACACAAACAAATGGAAAAACATTCCATGCTCATGGATAGAAGAATGAATATTGTGAAAATAGTCATACTGCCCAAAATAATTTACAGATTCAATGCTATTCCCATTAAGTTACCCTTGACTTTCCTCAAAGAATTAGAAAAAACTACTTTAAATTTCATATGGAACCGAAAAAGAGCCTGTATAGCCAAGACAATCCAAAGCAAAAAGAACAAAGCTGGAGGCATCACGCTACCTGACTTCAAACTGTGCTACAAGGCTACAGTAACCAAAACAGCATGGTACAGGTACCAAAACACATATATAGACCAATGGAACAGAACGGAGTCCTCAGAAATAACACCACACATCTAGAACCATCTGATCTTTGACAAACTTTCCAAAAACAAGCAGTGGGGTAAGGATTCCCTATTTACTAAATGGTGTTGGGAAAACTGGCTAGCCATGTGCAGAAAACTGAAACTTGACCCCTTCCTTAAACTTTATACAAGGATTAACTCAAGATGGATTAAAAATTTAAATGTAAGACCTAAAACCATAAAAACCCTAGAAGAAAACCTAGGCAATACCCTCAGAACACAGGCCTGGGCAAAGACTTCATGAGTAAAACACCAAAGGCAATGGCAACAAAAGTCAAAATAGACAAATGGGATCTAACTAAACTAAAGAGCTTCTGCACAGCAAAAGAAACTATCATCAGAGTAAACAGAAAACCTACAGAATGGGAGAAAATTTTTGAAATCTATCCATCTGACATAGGGCCAGTATCCAGAATCTACAAGGAACTTAAACAAATTTACAAGAAAAAAACAAACAGCCCCATCAAAAATGGGCAAAATATATGAACATACGCTTTTCAAAAGAAGACATTCATGCGGCCAACAAACATATGCAAAAAGCTCATCATCACTGGTCATTAGAGAAATGCAAATCAAAACCACAATGAGATACCATCTCACACCAGTTAGAATGGCGATCATTAAAAAATCAGGAAACAAGAGATGCTCAAGAGGATGTGGAGAAATAGGAACACTTTTACACTGTTGGTGGGAGTGTAAATTAGTTCAACCATTGTGGAAGGCAGTGTGGCGATTCCTCAAGGAACTAGAACTACAAATACCATTTGACCCAGCAATCTCATTACTGGGTATATACCCAAAGGATTATAAATCATTCTAATATAAAGACACTTGCACACGTATGTTTATTGCAGCACTATTCACAATAGCAAAGACTTGGAACAAACCCAAATGCTCATCATTGTTAGAATGGATAAAGAAAATGTAACACATATACACCATGGAATACTATACAGCCATAAAAAAAGAATGAGTTCATGTACTTTGCAGGGACATGGATGAAGCTGGAAACCATCATTCTCAGCAAACTAACACAGAAACAGAAAACCAAACCCCGCATGTTCTCACTCATAAGTGGGAGTTGAACAATAAAAACATATGGGCACAGGGAGGGGAATATCACAAACCAGGGCCTGTCGGGGGGTGGGGGACAAGGGGAGGATAGCATTAGAAGAAATACCTAATGTAGATGATGGGTCGATGGGTGCAGCAAACCACCATGGCGCATGTATACCTATGCAACAAACCTGCACGTTCTGCACATGTATCCCAGAACTTAAAGTATAATAAAAAATAAGAAGGAGGTTAAGTACTAAGAAGCACAGAAGAGGACTCTAAGCTGTCCAGTAATATCAAGTGCAAAATAACAGCTACTATCTCTAGGCTGAGGAAGCATGAACAATAAGGAATTAAAGAGTGGGGGAAGGCTCCCTGCCAAGGTTGAAATTTAGACTTAAAAGAGAGTGTGGCTACTCCAGGAGAGTGCAGTCTGCAAACAGCAAAGAGGTCACAAGCCATTGCTAGCTTCTAGAAGTGGCCTTCCTTTGCCTGGGGATGTGGGTGGCCCAAACATATCTATAGAAGTGCCCAGCGTTGAGTGGAGGGCGTGAACCAGCAGTAGCATTAGAAGCTGCTGTTGTGTGGAGAGTGTGAAAGTTTATATTAGCAGCCGTGTGTTTCTGGAGGGATGGAGATAGTTCTCATGGGATGAAGATGCCTACAAGCCGTCATGGTTTAGGGAGAAGTGTGGTCTGCTGTGGGTGCTGCTAGAACTCCTCAGTGTGAGCTACTGGACTCCTGCATGGAAAAACAATAATAGAGGACCAAACCCCAAAGAAGATGTCTTCTTGCTGCTACCACTTTGTGGGGTCACTCCAGTGCCTTCTATTGATGAAGCTAGGATTCTACCAGCTGGTGAAGCTGGATTTTTACACGATCCAATGCCAGTATCACAAAGCATGGCAAAGAAAAGTAGATTTGGAGCTGAGAGGCAATGAGGCAATAAGTTAATATCTGGCTCACAAGTTCACAGCTTAGTTGCCAGGGAGGCTGGGAAAACAGTATCTGGCACTTTCAGGCTCCAAGACTCATGAGGTGGTGAATTTCCTAAACATAGGCCAGTTTTTCAGATGTCAGGCAGCAGAAAAGAATGACTAACATCCATTACGCTATTATTAATCGCATAGCACTTTGCAGTTTATACATTCCTTTCACATTTATTACCTCATTTGATGTGTCTAAATGTCCAAATTGTGTATACCACACTTAAACAGCCTCTTTATGTTGTATCTCTTATATTATCTTCTTTCCCTGTGTCTAAATCAATGTATAGAAATAGATTAATTGCATATACAAACTCTCTTTGTCAGATATATCATATACCTGAAAGCATTATTGTTATTTTGAAAGACTTAATACATTTTCATACATTTCTACCTTGCTGTCACAAAGTTAAGAAAATAATTATAACCAATGTTATCTTTAATATCGCACTACTGGATGATGCCATACTTTAGAGAAGATACGGTGTCAGTATACGTATATACATAGATAGAAGTCAGTAGGCCATATAGATGATACATGTATGAAATTGTTGTTTATTTACCAGTAGACATTAATAGACTTCTACATAATATGGAATTGTTGGGAGATTTTTGTATCTTTAAGGATTTGTGGTGCCCATTCTTTAGTTTCTCTTTGGTTTCCATAGACGTCTATTCTTTTCTTTTTTCTTTTTGAGACGGAGTCTGGCTCTGTCACCCAGGCTGGAGTGCAGTGGCACAATTTTGGCTCACGGCAACCTCTGCCTCCTAGGTTCTAGCAATTCTGCTGCCTCAGCCTCCCAAGTAGCTAGGATTACAGGCGCCTGCCACCACGACCAGCTAATTTTTTGTATTTTTAGTAGAGACGGGGTTTCGCTGTGTTGGTCAGGCTGGTCTCAAACTCCTGACCTCATGATCCTCCCACCTTGGCCTCCCAGTGTTGGGATTACAGGAGTGAGCCACCATGCCTGGCCAGACATCTATTCTTATTCTGCTCATTGATAATCCTGCTTCAGCAGTAGTCGATACCCCTTCCATTTTGAAACACTTTTTTTTTATATTGAATTCCATGATATCACACTGTACTGGGTTTTCCTTACTTCTCATGCCTTTCCTGGTAAGGTTACTTTACTAGCTTCACTGGAAACATTTTTCCTGTGTTCATTTATGTTCCCATAATGATAACCATATTATCATTGGTCACTACATGAATACATATATATATTATATACATATATATGAATTCATATATATGTATATTATATATAATATATGTATATTATATATAATATATATATTTTATACATATATATATATAAAATATCTTGCCCATGGCCTTTAGACACTGACAGATCTACTCAATTGGCATTTTCCCTTGAATTTTCTCCAGGCATCTCAAACTAAGTATGTATAAAATTGGACTCACTAAACCTCCCACAGTTTACTCCACCTTGGTAAATGGTAAACACAACAGCATTCAGCCAGTTGCTTTGCTAGAGACTGAGATGTAAATTTTGCCTAACACTCATGTGTAATTCATCAACAAAGCCTATTAATTCTACTCACTAAATATGCCTTGAGTCCATGTATTTCTCTTGCTCTTCACAGCCCTTGCATTCTAAGCTTTCAACAACTTTTGGCTAGACTACTGCAATACCAGGATCAAGTTCCCTAGGATCCATTACAGTTCCATTTAATTAATTTTCCCTACTATAGCTTGCACTCTAAAATCATAAATCAGATGATTTCGCTCTCCTGTTTCAGAACAAGGTGGCTTCCCATCTTCCTTAGGATAAAGTCCAAAATCCACAGGGATACTTAACACTGTTCTCCAAGACTTGGTTTATTACTTCCTCTTCAGCCTTATCACTCACCACTTCCCCTCCCTCTCAGACACCAAACAAAATTGTTCAGCTTCTTTATAGCACTTTGCAATTTTCATTTATGTCTGAGATAGTGTTTTCTCTACTTTGTGACTGGCATACTCCTAGTTATCAGTCAATTTAAGTTTGCATCCTTATACTATCCTTTATTCCTTTATAAGCACTAATTTTATAAGCACTAATATTACTTATCAGTACTGGGTCAATGTAAGAGTGAGGATCACATGTGAATTCTCTACTGGGGTGTCCCCCAGCACCTGGCAGTGTCTAAGAGTAGATGCTCAATATTGTTGAATGAATAGTTGTTATAGCCACGATGATATTAAATACTATCATATAAAGTTCTAGTTTCGCATATTCTCAAAATCATGTAACATGCTTTACTTATTTGTATGTTCTCAGCCCCCAACAGAGTACCTAAAATACAATACGCAAATCAGCATATATACACTGAGCTAACATATAGCTACCTCAAACATGAAATATTATTCAAAAAATTAGCTTTCAGATTAAACCCTTAGAGACTTTCCACCATGAAATCAGTAAACATTATCAGAAAAAAAAAGAAAGAAAATCATGTTGCAAAAACAAAAATCTGCTTAGACTCAATATAGTGAACCATGGATGTTTGTAAGTGAACAAACAACTCGCTTGTCTTAATCAGCAAAAGAGAAAGGATAATAATTTATTAAATATGTAAATACTACTGATTAAATATTTGAATAATTAAAATGTGCTCAGACCCATTAGCAAATATCCACAGAAGTGTTCATCCTACTCTCTGGGTGCAACAATTTCATAAAATATAGTTTAAATAACAAGATACAAGGTAGACATTCCTTTCTCACAGGTCTCCTCTCCCTGTAGCAGCAAGAAATTCATTACATACATTTCTATTAATTTATAAGTAGGATCTTACTGTAAAATTGTTCCTTCTATTTGAATGGACTTTTTATCTCTACTTTTTATCTAAGCTAAGGACATCTGCTTTACTTTGTCAGTGTCTAAAGGCCATGGGCAAGTGACCTAATATCTTAGAGGTTTACTGTCTTCCTCTGTAAAAGGGAAGAATCCATCTAGATAGTCTCTAAAGTCTCATATAGGCATAAAAAGCCATAATCCGGGAAAGTTGTTTTCTCCTTGGCACTAGAAGGATACACACTTACATACTTAGACATACATTTTTAAACAGACAATAAACAGCTCAAATTTAAGAGCACCAGGTTAAAATGAGCACTGTAAAGATTAGAAAATTTAGTTTGGTAATATATGTGCAAATTTAAGTGAAGAAGGGGCAGCAATTGTCCCAGAAAACTGTCAGTTCTAGACAATATGCTTCCCAGAAATAAAATTTATCTTGACACACTCTAAAATAAATAAATGTTTTAATTGGTGGCCAATGCTTAAAAATTAGAAGAATATTCACAAATACTCAGATATAAAGATTCTATAAAAAATTCAGAGTACCCAGACACACTGGGCCTTTAATCCCTCTTGGCAACAATCATTTTGGGATGACAGTGGCACCCCTTGTAGTGGGGTAAGTACTCTCAGATTCATTACTGACCTCACCACCCTGCCCTCGGCCTGCTTCATTCATTTACATTACATTCCTAGGCCCTGTGGATGCTGTACTTTGCAGTCTTCATTTAGAGTAAATTAATGGTAGGCGGATATGAGAGCCATATTGAAAGAATAGTCATTCTCTCTCTCTCTAAAAATATGGCTGTATATGTTGGAAAATGTTATATTTGAAATACTCATGATTATTTATTCAGAATAATAACTGTTACTACACAATTTCCGAAAGTTATTTTCTTATGTAGTACACTAAATACTCAAGTTATTTAGAAAAATTTTAGAATCTCCTTGTATAGTATATATATAGTATACATGTTTGTTCATCTCATAAACACCTGATATAAGTTACTTTATATACATAATCAGACTTTATACTGCATAAATTATTTTACTTTAGATGCAATGATTAAACTTCTTTTTATTGTATTAGCTACAAAATAGATATAAATACATTTAAATTTTTTTTCAAAAGGCTATATTCTACTATAAAGTCTGACCTTTTGGTTTTAAGGGATTCAAACTATTCTAACATATGTTATTAGAAAAAATGTTACTTTAGTATAAAAGCAAAGAAATATATGCTTCAAGTTTTAATGCCTTTAAGATTAAGATTATAGTGATTATTGTACCAAGCCATATTCTATTCTACTATTACAATTTCCTAAAACCCAAAGCACTTACTGCTTTCATCACACACAAACACACACGCAGAAGCAGTAAGAGAAAATTATTAGTAGTATAATTTCAGTAATAAATCATGGTTTAATATAGGGAATTAAACAGCATTTTTATTGGATAGCATTCTATTCTGTAATATTCTAATAACAGAATGAAGGCGTAAGGAGCTTTATAAATCAGAATTTATTTAACTTTGAAATCGCTGGAAATGGTCTGAGAACTCAAAAAGCTGTATACTTGTATAACTTTAACAAGTAACTGGAGTAGTTGATTATTTCTGTTTCGTGTTGTCCTTCTTGGTGTACAGCCCAAATGTTTGAAAATTGTTTTTGAAATTTGAATACAGCCAAAAAATAACAACACACAATTAAATTGGCTGCTTTATGTCTTTTTACTAACATTTGACTAGTTCAATTATTATATTCTAGAAGGGGAAGAAATTGTTTTTACATGTGAATATTAACCATGCAAAAGTTTAATATTTCCATCTAGCCATGGTTAGCTGTAAATTCTGTTCCAGGATTTTTTGCAGGGGACTTTAGTAAGGGACAACTACAAAAATAAAAGAAAAAAAAAAGTATTGAAACATCGGTTACTGCAATCTTATTGTTCTGAGTTATATATGTGTTTGTCCTTTTTAAATTGACAGCAAAAACTCAGTTTGCTTTAAGAAGTGGCTTCTTAAGAAGAAACCAATTTTCCGTAATCCCTTAAGACCTACTCCTGTTTCCATGAAGTATAAGTATTCTTAGAGTGCCTCTTCCAGTAGCAATAAAGGTATAATGGTCAAAATCCCTTCAGCAGAGCAGGATGGAAGAAGTACTTAGCCAGTGATTTTCTTTTCAAGTGGTGGAATGAAATGAACATGAACTTTGGAAGCAGATGTAGGTTACAAAATTATTGTTCTTTCACCACTTAGATGTATAAACTTATATGAGTTGCATAAATTCACCAAATTTCATCTTTCAAAAAGAAAAGGGAAAACAAGAATACCTCCCTATAAGAATGTCATGAAGTTTAAAGGAGATAAATAATATAAAATGACTACTACAGAGTCTCACACACCATGGGTATATAATAAGTTCCCCCTCCCACCCCCCTGCCCTGTTCGCTTTCCCCAGCTAACTGCCTGGATGCCTCCCTCTCATGCTTAACACATGGCATTAGAATACTTGGATGGGTATCCTTGGTCTCAAGTACAGAGCAGGCAGTCTCATTGAATGAGTGGAAGCGAATTTAATGTGTAAGGGAATTCCAGATAAGTTGCATGTAAATTAACTTTGGTAACTTGTGTCATCTTCAATACAATGAGGAATTATTCATTCTGTAGATTAATTGGGCTAAATATCTTCATGAATCTCAAATACCTTTCACATATGACCTCTTGTTTGCCTCCATTCACTAGGTTGTTCACTTAGCAAATATTTATTGCCCACCAACTATGTGCCAAGCGTTAGGCTGAATGCTGGAGCAGAAAAAAAATAAAGAATGGTAATTAAAGCAGCCACAGTTCTTGCTACCACAGAGTTATGTGGAGTGGTAAACACATACATTAAACAAATGTCACCAAATTCTGGATCCAAAATAAGTGATGACACTTCAGTTATTCAGGAAGTGTAATACTCATGAGAATAGTTGTTTCTAAAACCCACTCAAATATCTGCCCAAATATTATTCCATTCCATTTTTAATTGCTGTTACCCACTTCCAAAATGCATTTAAATGATTTTCAGGAAGACAGCTGTGTCTCCTCCAATGACGGAATGCTTTCAACCCATTATTTAGACCCTTGAAAAAGTGTTTCTCTGGCATAAAAAGAATATTACTGTAATTATGTGACTCAGTTATATAGTACAAAATATAGATGATGAATCAAACGTTTCCATTAAAGGATCACTTAAAGGTAAAAATATATTCTAAATCCTTGAATGCTAAACAGTAAATCACTGGGTGCCTCTTTCTCTATACTTTGTTTCTTCATAATTGGAAGTTGACAAGTAAAAAAAAACAAAAAAAAAAAAAACAAAAAAAACCCAAAAAAAAACCCAAATGCACCTGTTTTGATTTAGATGCCTTTTAGAAATTTCTTTCTTCCTTTTCTCTCACCTTCCTTCCTTCCAAAAGCTCACTTATTGTAGCCCTTACGGTTACGGATTAGTAGTATAAAAGAGTGATGTGATCTTTGCAGCACCCAAATTACTGCCAAGGAAGCCGTCTTTACACTGAATGGAATCTTGCTCCTCGTGCTGAGTATTGCAAATAGCCTTCTGCTTATTCCTTTGTAGGCCTTGGAAGCAAAGTGAGCCATGTGTTTCCATTATGATGGCCTGACTCCGGAAAGAAATGTGCAAACAAGCCTGTATATTTTTACTGAGCTCTCAATTAGTTTAATTTAGAATTGAAATGTGCTTTTTAGCTCAGATGTCATAAAACTAAAGAGAAGCATGTGCAGGACTGTACAAGTGCAGCTCATGATTATATCTCATTGTGATCTTTGATGGTGCTGTCCAGAAGCAGCTTCAGAGAAGACATCTGAAACACTGAAAGTACTTAATTGATATATAATTAAAGTGAAATATTTTTGTGTAATTTGCATTTCAACTTGTCATTTATGGTGATTAGCTTCAGTAACTTTATGTACTGTAGCTAACCACTATTCAGAATTCTAAGAAAATTAGCATTTACATATTAATAACCTATGATAATGCCTTAAGGGTATAAATTAATGAATTCTGGGCCCAGCATGCCTATCCACCATCTGATTGAGCCTTTTCAAATCTGAACATGAGGAGCTTATCATTTTAACATCAAATAATTACAGAAAAAGGAATTTCTTGCCTGACTTTGTAAAGTTTTCAAATAAACTGTCAGTATTTTAAGAGAAATTATTTTTAACATCCAGAGGGCTAATAAGATTTATTTTAAAAGAAAGATAAATAGCAGCATTCTGAAAATCAACAGGTAAAAATTAAGTTAATATAGAATGAAAAACAAATATTCAGGACAGTCCAAGAGGCTGAGCAGTGAGTGTTTGGGAGAGGCTGCAAGACCTGAAATTAATTGTGTTTGACACTCAATTCTAGGCTCTACATTGCCAGATGCACTGACAACCTCATCACATTCTAGCTAGCAAAAATTAAATGTATGAAAATGACAACATAACATCACCCTGATAAAACAAAATAAAGAGGCATTTTGTGTCAAGTGTAAAGGAGAATGTCTTAACTGAGTTAAGATTGTTAAACAATTAATATATAACTATGATTATAATTGGTTTCTTCACAAAGAGTCATTATACTTCTTTGTTTTAATAGCTGCCAATTTTCAAAAACTGAGCTTTAATTAAAAACTATTGGTGAGTTAATGCATGGTCAAAAGGGGAGGAAGATCCACTGCAGAAACAGAAACTTAACTGCCAGGGTCAACTCAGCAACCTGAAAGTAAGACTTTTGTGGCTTTCAGCCAGTCATTCCACACTCTCTCATTCTCTTCCTTTCTTATTTCTTTTGCCATAAACCATGATATCATTCATTCTGCAAATATTAATTGAACACTTTCCATGTGCCAACTTTAGGGGCTAGGGATATGTCAGTGAAAAACAATCCAGTTACTTCTTCTTGTGGAACGTGTATTCTCCTACATAAAAGACGTAAATAAGCAATCAAATAAATAAGATAATTTCAAATAGTGGTAAGAGCTATGAAGAAAATAACTGTAGTAAGGAATGACTGGAGCTCTGAGAGCCTCATGACAGAGAGGAGTCAGAAACGGTCTCCCTGAGGAGTGGACAGTTTTGTTGAGAAAAGACTGGTGAGAAGTCCAACTATATGTAGATCAGGTGAGAGCAGCTACTGCAAAGGCCCTGAAGTGAGGGGAGAAGATAAGTTTAAATAGAAGAAAAAGGGAGAGTTTGGCTATGGTTAGTAAGCGGTGCAGTGTTAGGTGAGTTTAGTAAAGACAAAAGTCATTGTGGCTTTTAGATCACATGGGTATCACTCCAAATATGATGAGAAGCCACTGGAATTTTAAGTAGGGATGAGATGCAGTCTATTTACATTCTCTGTTGAGAGGAGCATAATTAGGGAGGAGGAAAACTGGTAATAGTTAGAAGAGTTAGGAGACTTGAAGCTGACTGGGCAAAAAATGGCAGCGTAATGGAGACAAAGGGAGTGAATGGATTTAGACATAGTTTAGATATTTTGGAGATAAATGATCAAGATTTTCTCATGTGTTAGATGTGGAAATAAGAGGAAGATAAGAATCAAGAATATTTTCATAGATAGCCATGTTTTCTGTTGGAATGGCAGAAAATAGAGAAAAGGTTTTGAGGGGGGGAAATGAAGGGTTCTGTTTTGACCCAGCTAAGTTTTAGGTGCAGAAGAGACAACCAAAGGGTGTGTCAAGGAAACTGTTGATATTTGAGTCTGAAGCTCATGGAAAAGAAAGGGACAATATGAAAATATTAACCATGGGAGCTTTGGAACATGAGTAATAGTTGAAGCTATAGAAATGGATTAGATGATCTAAAGAAACATTGTAGAAGAAGTGCTATTTCAATATTTTAAAATGGGTCAAGTGGGAAATGCAAGAGGAGGAAACATGGGATAAGCTGTCAGGTAAGAGGGAACTCTGGAAAGTATGCTTGTTGGGGAAGCCAAGAGAGGAGTGTGTTCCAAGAAGGGAAGTGGCAAAGTTCTAGAAATCAACTCCTCATAATTATTCCCTTTGGTCACCAGCCTTATCTGTGCCTGAAGAGTCATACATTTCTAAATTGTGGCCACTCCCAATTCACATTTTGAGGTCTGTCAATATTTATCCAATCATTTGTGTGTTTAATTTACTTTTATTGTGTATGTTTAAGATATATAACATGATTTTTTGATACATAGTGAAATGGTTATTTACAGAACCAAGAATGGTGGTTACCAGGCACAGGAAGGAGGACAAAACGGGGAGAAGCAGGTCAAAGGGTACAAACTTGCAGTTATGTAGGATGAATAAGTCGTATGGCATGAGGACTATAGTTGATAATATTGTATTATATATTGAAAATATGCTGAGAGTAGATTTTAGGTGTGTTCATCATAAAAAAATTAATTCACTTTGCTTGTTGTGTTATTCATTCAGTAGGGTTTTATGGGGCGTTTATCATGTGGCAGTTAGTGTGTTACATGTGTAGTACTGGACACAGCTGTAAATAAAATAAGCCTAGTTCCTTATCATAACAGTTTATAAGCTACTTCATGTGTTCTTGGTTAGTTTTTTCTCCAGCCTTCTGAAACAATTTGAAACTTGAACTACTTTCAAACCCCCTTTTCAAATATCACTGATTTGCAACCTTCCCTTGTAAATCAGTGCAACTATAGAGCTTTAAACCCCTACACATATCTTACCTAATCTTTGATTTATGAAATCTATGAAATGAGGTGTCTTCCCACCCACGCACCTGCACATCTCATTCGAGGCCAACCTTATATCTGTCCTTGACCCCATGTATTCTATCTTTCTGGAGCCTCATTTAATTAGTATCCCTTATCTCTTCTGTATCCTATCTTGCTCTCTACTGACTCCATTCCCTTAACTTGTAAACAAGCTCAAATTTCTCCTATCAAACATATTTATACACACACACACACACATATACATGTGTGTATATATATACAAGTGTGAGTATATATATATATGTGTGTGTGTGTGTATGTATATATATAGCCTCTCTTGATACCCTTTAAAGTCATATTCCTTTGCAGATACATTTAGCATTACATAATTACCAAAGCCCACATTTTATTGGTATCTAACACAGTTGTTACTGGAATGGTGAACCCAAAAAATCAGTTTTTTGTGTTCTGTCACCCAAGCTGGAGTGCAGTGGCGAGATCTCAGTTCACAGCAACCTCCACCTCCCGGGTTCAAGCGATTCTCCTGCCTAAGCCTCCTGAGTAGCTGGGATCACAGGCGCCTGCTGCCATATCTGGCTAATTTTTGTATTTTTAGTACAGACAGGGTTTCATCATGTTGGCCAGGCTGGTCTCGGACTCCTGGCCTCATGTGATCCACCCATCTCAGCCTCCCAAAGTTCTGGGATTACCGGCATGAGCCCTCAGATTTTTATGTTCTGTGTGCCTAAACTGGGTGCGCATATAAGGCCTCCATTTTCTTATCACTATGTTTTTGTTCAAGCAGTTGGTGTGCATTTGTTTACCTAACATTTCTAGGTATCATTTATCCCTGAGGTATTTTAAATGTGATTTCATTCAAAAATAGAAGTACAGGCACTGAAATCCCAAGGCATTTCTCTATTTCAGGGAGGTCATCTAGATGATTCAGCATATGCTTACACTACTTTAAAATAACCATTCAAATGTTAACAACAACCTGATAAAGTCTCCCAGACAACTCAGGGACTTCTAAAAATAAATCCTCAAACGCAAACCTGAAAAATCTTTCTCTATATTGTTTGATACTTTTGAGCATTCATTTCTTGAAAAATTCTACCTTCTCTGACTTCATCTGCCAGGTCTCCTATTCCTCCAATAATATCTGCTATTATTTTTGAAATGAATTGTTTTCCATATTTATATCATCAGACAAGAGGTTTTCACCGCACATTGTTCCTGTAGAATCTCATGTTGACTTTCACAGTCATTTCCTTCAAAATCTACATATTTAAACCATTTCTTCTTGCTCCACTTCATTTTCTTACATGCAACTACCAGCTAGACACCTGGGACCTCAAACTCAACATGTCCAAAATGGAATCCAGTGTTTTCTGTGTATTATAAAACTGTACTTCTCCCATAGTATCCAAGAAAAATCTTTCCAAGCTATCCAGGCTATCACCCAAGGTGATACCACCGCTATCCATTCATTCATTCAAGATACAAACAAGAAGTCATCTTTCTGTCTTCTTCTCCTCCCTCTTCTTCATCCTCCTCATTCAATAATTTATTAGATTCTGCCTATTTATCTCCTAAATACTTCCCAAATCTGACCTCTACATTGTATGCCTACCACATCTGCTTTAATTTGCCCTTTTATGATCTCTTTCTTGGCCTACTACAATAGCCTACTTACTGGTTTGTATGTCTTTAATTACTATTCTTCAGCCTAACTTCCACAGACAGGTAGGATTTCCTCCAGTCAGTCTTTCCCTCCACTCCACCCTCTGAGAAGTACCTCTTCCCTGTGCCTCCCAATTCCCTCTGACTGTTCCTTATTATATTCACCATCTTGGATTATCAGTTTAGAGCCCTGTCTTGTCCACTAGACTGTGAAACTCATCTTAGTGGGAATACTATTTTGTATTTTCTTTGAAGTGTTTAACACAGTGACTGAAATAAACTAGGCAGTATATAAACATTTTTTAATAGAGGAATGAGTGGTAGTGTTAAATCCACCTCTTTTTTGGAAGTGCATGCTTTCTACTAAAGAAGGAGAAAACACTAATAAGCACACTTTTGATACAACCTTAAACAATTTGCCCCAAACCAAGAAACAGTTATATTCATATCGAAAAATGCATAGATTAGTTATCCGAGTTCAGATATCTACAAGGCTAGGAAGTTAACATAAATACTTGAAGTATCATAGTAGTACTAATACGGAGTGGTAAGGCTTGCAGTTTGCTGAGGAATACATACCTCACCTCAAAGCATTCATATTCAATTGGGGAAAAAATGTAGCTGTCAAATAAGGCTCATCTCCTCTAGACCCAGGACTTCAAGGTGGTGACCCCTGCTGCAAGATGTACTATAAAAACCTTTAGCTTCTGTTACCTTAGCTCAGAAAATGATGACACTTAGACAAATGCACCTTATACATCACATACAAATTGGATAATATTAAAGACAAGTCAAAGAGTTTTAGTAGCTTTTTCTTTTCCGTTCTGCTCTCTTCCCATTTCCCAGGCCCAGTGTAACCACATGTTATGTGTTACACTGTTAATTTAGGGTCAACTTTCTTATAGTGCTTCTAGTTTTTATTGATTCCTTCATAATAACATTTTCCAGCTGCAGGTTCCAATCATCTTTCTGTTTCTATGGATACAGTACATTTCAAAAAGGGAATAGGTAAACCTTTTAATACATGAAAAACATTTTTTAAGTCCTATGCTCTAATCTAGTGGACTAAATAAGAAGAAAATAGAAACTCTGAAGAGAGACTTTTGAAATGTTAGATAAATTTCTGTAATCTCTCTTTTCTTGTGCTAATAACTAACATTTTTTCCAAAATGTGAATAATAGTAATAAAATAATAATAACGATATTAATAAATGAGGCTACATATGTTAAAATTCTTTATAAAGTTCTTTATGAAACATCTATGTTAAGTAATACGTTTGTTCGTATCACTGTTTGTTTTTAAATCTTCTGTCTAACTACTCTAACCCTTCTTGGTAGCAACAAGGGCTAGGAATATTATTACTCAAGGCAGCAGACTTTCACAAAGCTAACAACTTGAGCCACTTTGCCAAACCGGAGCAGGAGAATGTGTTTAGTTCTTGAGTTTCCATCCATGTAGTAATGGCCACTTTGTAGAAGAGGTAAAGTGACAGAAAAACACAAAACATCTACCATATCTACACCGACTAATCCAGAAGAAGAAGAAACACAGAAATGCAGTTCTAAGCCAATATACCCAGAACAATGCCATTAATTCACAATCCTCATAAGTTTACCTCTATCTGTTGTACAAAGTTGTCTCAAATGACTTCTTAGTTTTATCTGTAAAATATAGTTTCTATCTAGTTCATATGTTGTTCCAGTTACCATTTACATTATTTGTGTTAGTAAAATATCACTAATATGAGGAGGACTTTCGCAATCAAGGCAGTCAGGAGTGGGACTTGTGGAGTTCAGTCTATATTAAGACTTTTGTCTTGCTTAGCCTGGTTTTAACCTTGTTCTTAGCTTATCTCACTGATGTGCTTAAGAATGTAAACATTTTGTAGCCTCCTCTATTTTAGCTTGCCTGCCTCTCCTCAATGTTCTGCTGAGTATTCCTTTTTCCTACGAATTTACTGACTCAACACATCCTATTTCCGTAACTAAAATTAATACATTTCCCTCTTCCAATATTAGTAGAGATTTTTTATTAATACTACCCAACAATTATTGCTATAATTATAATATTTTCATAAACATTTATGCGATACGTTTGCTACATGTCTAATAATAATTATATATGTGTGTTTGCATGCTTGTGTGTGTGTGTGTATTGTAGGTAGGAAAAAAGACAAGTAATTGTATAATATTATTACAATATCCTAGTTATGAAGTAATAAATATTCTGAGACAATTATAATATATGAGATCATATAAAATGATACTATCCCTAAAAATATTATTGTGGTTTTTTAGTTTACTTGTTCATTCAGAAAATATAGCCCTTAGGAATATTAGATGAAAATCTCAAGAAAATCATGCTATTGTTAGAGATAGGCAACATCAAAAATAATTACAACAAATATTGTTATGAAAATTCAGGTTTGGCTTTTTTTTTTTAGAAGTGCACAGAGTATTATGGCAAAAAAAGAGGCAAGGTTGTTAATTCAGTTTAAAGGAATCAGGGAAAGTTTGCTGAAAATGAAATTTCTGCACTATCAGGATTGACAAGTCATAGAAAAGTTAAATATTTTAAGGGTTATGCCAAACACAAAGTTGGATAAAATTCTGACCTTAGACCACAGCATCTTACAAACAAAGGCAGCAAAGACCTCCAGTTCCATAGATTATGGATTCTATAACATTAGCATAATTATTAAGAACAATTAGGAGTATTAGATTTTTATAACTGATAACTTTTTCAAATGTATAATGAGTCTACAGGAAATTATATAAAATATCAAAGGGACAGAACTAAGAAACAGAAAAATTTAGACAACAGGAGCAGGTACTGTAGCTTCCCTTGGGGAGGTTTACATGGGAAAGTGATTCTCAAGGCCTTGAACCAACAATCGGCAAAAAGCTGGAAATGAGATCACCATACAAACGAGGATTCGTAAAGGCTACAGCATCAGTGAGAAAGTAGATGTAGGAAAAAAAAATCTGTTCCCTGGCTCAAAGAGTAATCCTAAAAACTTCCTGGCTTCCCTTGAGTTCTGCATAAAAAGTAACATACTCCCATAAGAATTTTGACGTATTTATCTGCTCTCAAGTGAACTTTCTGTTCAAATTTGTACTATCTGCAATTTCTAGGAACTCATAAACATAGAAATTCACAGACACATGTACACACACAAACACAGGTACATCACTTACAAAAACATATTGGAATAATTGGGATAAGTAAATGCAAAAACACTTTGGAGAAATATTTCTCCAAAACAGCCCTCTTAAATTCTCACAAATAGAGCTTTGCTGAAAATTAGTTCACAATTCAAAATTACAAAACAAATATGTTGACAATCCACTTTAAATACGAATTAGAACACACACAAAATAGTATCAAATTACCAAGGATTTTAGGCAATAGAAATATATGATAGAGGGAATGAAATGTTTAAGATGACTAAACACATGTGGAACTATAATACTGTACAACAGTAACACGTAAGACAGGAGGGCAATGTCAAAGTTAAAATGCTTAAATGTCTATGTATTATTCAGATGGAGTATGGAGATATTTACTAAAATCAGAATTTTATGTCAAGTATGAATATAAAACAAGAGCAACAACTGAAAGAATAAATATAGAATATAGAAAATTAAGAAAAGTTGACAAACCTAGTAGATAGTTTACTATTGGGAGAGATGTGTATTAGTATAAACTTGTGGAGAGAAATTTAGTGATATTGATCAAAACCAAAAAGATTCATACCCCTTATTTTATAATTTCACTTCTAGCAATATATCCTAATGAATAACCAGATATACATGAAAATGGTTATTATAAGAGCATGTTATCACTGCCAAAAATTAAAAACAGCCAAAATGCTCAATATTAAGCTCAACCAAAATGCTCAATATTAAGAAACGAAAAAACTAAACTTCGACACATACTTCAAACAATATTTATTAATATACAGGTCTATAAAATATGTATTGAGTGCTTACTGTGGGTAGGCACACTCCTTAATACTCCTAAGTACTGTACACATCTATTTTACTTGGTAGTTATTATTGCATAACAAACCATCTCAAACTGAATGGCTTAGAATAACAGTGATTTCTTCTGCTCATGATTTTACATTTGGGGCAAGACTTAATTTCTACTTCATACAGCATTGGCTGCGACAGTTTAACCGAGGGCATTTTTAAGATTATTTATTCCTAGTGCTGTTAACTTTGTTCTGGCAGTCAGCTTGGAACTTAGTTATGGCTGAGGTATTGGTTCCTTTTTATGTGGGCCTCATTACGTCACCTGGGCTTCCTCACAGCATGGTGGCTGAGTAAAAAGGTTGTCTATCCCCAGAGAATGAGAATGGTATTCTCAAAAGTCACACAGAATCACTTTTGTGATTTTTTTTTTTTTGAGACGGAGTTTTGCTCTTGCTGCCCAGGCTGGAGTGCAGTGGCCCGATCTCAACTCACTGCAACCTCCACCTCTGGGGTTCAAGCAATGATTCTCCTGCCTCAGCCTCCCGAGTAGCTGGGATTACGGGCATGTGCCAGCACGCCCTGCTAATTTTTTTGTATTTTTATTAGAGACGGGTTTTCACCATGTTGGCCAGGATGGTCTCAACCTCCTGATCTCGTGATCCGCCCGCCTTGGCCTCCCAAAGTACTGGGATTACAGGCATGAGCCACCGCGCCCCGCCCCTAGAATCACTTTTGTGATACTTTAATAGTCAAGGCAGTCTCAAAGGCCAACCCAGGTTCAAGTGAGAGGAAAGACTCCAATTCTGAATGGGGAAGTAGCAAAGTTCTAGAAGATAATGTGAAAAAGGAAGAAAACCATTGCAACCATTTCTCAGAAAATTCACTGAGGCGCAGAAGAGGCAAAAGACAATTAGGTACATGAATCTGGAATTCAAGAGAAACATTTGAAGTGGGTGGTACAGTTTGGGGGATCATGAGAACATAGATGGTAATTAAAGCCGCAGAATTGGATGATTTCACGCAGGAAATATATTTAGAATGAAAAGGCGGATCGAGAGAGAATTTTAAGGTGCACTAACTTTAAAGGAGCAGAGTAAGAAGTGTTCAAGGACACTAAGAAACGCCAAGAGAGAGCATAGTTGTGGTGTTAGGAATGCAAGGCAAAGAAGCATTTGAAAGAAATGTCCAAATGTGTCAAACATACCAGGGTATTCCAATAAGATAAAACCTAAACTCTAAGATTTAGGATGTAGTTAGTCGCTAGCAAAGTTGAAGAGACTAGTTTGGGTGGCTGGAAAATGCGGAAGCCAGGTAGATGAATTGAAAAGAGTGTGAACAGAAGACTCCTCAACTATATGGCTGTGAAACAGTAGAGAGATAGGAAGCATGAGGTCAGGAAAGTTCTTTGCTTTATAAAAGAAAAGAGTTGAGCTTGTTTAAAAGCAGTTAGAGGAACTTCTTAAGAGGTGGAAAACTGAAGATACAGGAGAAAGAGAAGGGCCATAGATGGAAGAAAGAACAGTGCTCTTCCTCACCATGCTGCAATGGTCAGTAAAATTCAGCACATCTCTTGGATTGATGTCCCATAACTTGAGAAACACTGAGCTAAGGCCGTGTCCTTTGATTTGTATGTGATATAGAACTACAAATCCTCACAAATTATATAATCATTTGACTTAGCGTGGCATCTGGAAGGTGGCATCTGGAATGAAATTGGGAATGAACCTGATGAGAAGACATATTTAATTAGTTGACACAATCAGGTAAAAAATGGAGTAGTATCATGTGTTTATTGTATGTCTCTATTTATATAATACATAATCCAAGTGATCTTGTTAGTGAAACAGAACACAGAACATGCACTTAAAATTATGACATTTCATTGAAAGTCTTATTCTGATTAGTGTTTATAACTTAAAATATAGAGCAATCTAATATCATTGCATGTATTTAGTGGCTAAGCATTAATTCCCGTTTATTTTGCCATTTTATGAAAACATAAAAATTTACATTTTTCCCTTTTATGTATTCTGAACACATTCAATTCAGCTTAGTTTACTTTCATTAATTTGTTTGAATTTATATAATCTAAGACATTTTATTGTTTGAATAATTATTTGTATGCTAAGCAACAATAGATGTCATAAGATTCAGCCAAGCAAAATTTTGATTCAAGAGTGTTTTCAAAGCTATATTATAATACTATATATGGAAATAACTGTATTTTAAAATTTGAATCACTGGACCAAATAAAATACTGCCCAAGGTATCATACTAACATAATAACATTGAATATTTGCCTGACAATCTATCCTCACACACACAAAACCCAATAACCCTCACTTGCTAAGCCTATGATCTAGACAAAATAGGAAAAAATAAATGTTTAAAAGAATAAGACTACAGCTGTAAATTTGCAAAGGGAAAGTAAAATGCGAGTGACAGAATACATCAGAAGCAAATTTATCAGCCTGAGACTATAGTTTCAAAGTAAGTATATATGAATAGAGGAAGAATGACAGACAACTATGAAAAGGAGAATAAATAGAAATGTATGATGATGCAAATGAACGAAAGCAGATAGAAGACGATAAAATATCAGAAAATATTGTTTGTTGAGGTCCAGTATAATAAATTAAAATATTAAATAGTATAGTGAGTACCAGAATAGTGAAAAGTCATAATGATTACAATGAAAACAATATAATAGGAATAAAGAGTAGATGGACTTTATGTATAGTACAATTGTTGTTTTTGAACTTGAGCAGTGTAGTACACTTTGGACATTAAATTTTATAGAGTCAGTTGTTCAATATTTAAAATAGATGAAAGCAGAAGTGCTCCTGGATTTTTGTGAGGGTGGAAGGGAAGGATACCAAGAAAAGGAGTCCAGCATTGCCCACCCAATGCTATCTCAGCAAAAGTCTTCATAAAAAGCTACATGAGTACTTCCATGGAATTTATGGGGTTCCTAGAAAAACATAATTTAGAAGCCAAAGCTTGAAAATCGTATGGTTTTCAAGTGGCATACTTTAAAAGATTATGTAAATATTCATTATATGCATAAGTTAAAGTACACGACTTGTAAATCCTGTTTGTTTACATTTTCTAGAACAAGTATTAAAATTTGTGTATAGTTTCAGCACAAACTAAAAGCCAGGATCTTAGGTTTGAATTCTACAGCTCTTCAATTTATTTTTGTCAGTAGAGTGAAATACAAATTAATTGAACCATGTTATTTATCATGTAAAGCTTGAGAGTTGGCCCTCAGTTTGCAAGAAAATCAGTAGAACAAAAAATATGAAAATATGAAGGAGCTGAGTAACTCCAGGTTCTAATGGTGTTAAATGTGGACCACTTACATACTTGCATCCAAAGCCTTGGTGGAACATTTACAGATTAGGGTCTGACGCAGCAACTTGATTTATTAGATCACTTAAGTTATAAGAATTGAATTAAGTTAAACTTAAGATGCCTGAAGCTTCAACTAGAAACTTCCTTATATCTTGCAAGAAAATTACAGCCAGTCACATTGTCAGAGCAAGACTTCCATGTTGGTCAGTCTTCTCAGAAGATCAAATTCTAGTTCCTTGGTGAGCATAGAATTAGTTGATGGTTCTTCTTTGATAGAATTTCTTTATAAACCCTAATATAATATCTATCAAAATAAATGGTATTTCTATTTAGAATCTGAATACCTCCTTTCTTGGTTTTGAATCAACTGTAGTATTTTATTCACTAAGACTTTTATTCTCTCATTAAAAAGTAAAACTATTTAACAACATAAATGCACATAGAAAACTGTGTTAAAATCTGCCTCTTATTAATCACCTTCTGTGTCTTCATAGCATAGCACTTTTACATAATTTCATTTAATTCTTGCCATATTATGTATTCATAGCTAATACAAGTAAGATTAGTAACTAAAATCAGAAAACATAAAAATTTTATAGACCTAAACACTTCTTAATCTAGCTACATAAGCCAAGAAGAAATAGGACTGTTAGCCATACATGATAAACCATAAGAATTTGGAATCCAAATAGATTTTCTTTATGGTACCTCCTTTGCGAGCTTCTGTCCCTTAAAATATAAATTGGAAAAAGTCACACCAATTTGGACCAGAAATCAGTTATGTTAAAAGAGTGATAAAAATGTGATTGAAAAAGAATTTTGAGAAGAATCTTTTTCTATTTATGATGTTGCTTCATGGTTTTGTAGCAACTGGGAGCATGGACCAAGAAAGGCAAGATGAGGCCGTGTACCTGTTTCTCTGGGGTCCTCTTACTTTATTTGGCTTGCTTCTGTTGGGTTTTGGAATTGGTTTGTCTTTGCTTTTCGGCCCGCCTACAACATGCGCAGCTGGCCCCAATTCATTAAGCCTCTCAGATATTCCAAGAATGACTTTCTAGCAGCCTAACGTCTGTTTTCAAACATGATTCAAGGAGACTCTAAGATTGTGATTAAAATGAAATTGCCACAGCAAGCAAATAAAAAGTAACAATTTAGGCGGAGTGAAAACTATAATCCAATTCAAGAATAGAAAATATATGCTTATAGTTTAGGCAGGAGGGCAAAAGGTATTATAAATGTTCCTTCAATTAATACTCAAAAATTTCAAGCGTATATAATTGTATGTTTGCATGTAGAAAAAAATACAGAAAATAATTTTGGACTTGTCACACCTAAAGTTCTCTAGCATAGGATTTGCCACATTATTATGGAAGGCCATATTTTTTTTATTTTAGTCAAATTTCCCTTTAATCCAATTGGCTTCTTAATGCAGAATTTTAATTCAGACCAGCTTCACTCAATGTAAGCCTTTGAGTACAAGCTCAATAATTCATTAATTGATTGTGCAATTAATTGCACACTTCACTTATACTCTTTATCTTATACTCCTGACAGATCCAATGATTCAGTGATTTTTATTTTTTTAATTTTCTAGAATGTAGACTTCAAAGTCAACAATTTGAGTGTGCTAATAGTTTGTGGTGTTTTCTTCCTCTTGTTTCAGTCTGTTCCCAGTATTCTAGAGGAGTATTTGCCATTTTTGGACTCTATGATAAGAGGTCGGTACATACCTTGACCTCATTCTGCAGCGCCTTACATATCTCCCTCATCACACCAAGTTTCCCTACTGAGGGGGAGAGCCAGTTTGTGCTGCAACTAAGACCTTCGTTACGAGGAGCACTCTTGAGTTTGCTGGATCACTACGAATGGAACTGTTTTGTCTTCCTGTATGACACAGACAGGGGTAAGTCCAGTTTCTTCATCTATTAGAGCAAAACTCTAATTTTCAATGTGAAATGGCCTTATATGACTTCGGTTTTTAGCAAATTGTTTGATCTCTAACATCACTAAAATCAGAAAATGGTTGATGTGTATTTTTATCTTGACTCTGGGGAAAAATTTCTAATTAAACGAGTTTCAGATTCACAAGGTTACTCCTGAGCAAACCATGCTCTGTAACTTCATTGAAATTAAGATAACTATGTGAATAAGAAAAACAAACCAAAGTGCTTTTCCTGCTCTCACACAACAATCAACAAAAAATAGTTCTGTGACCTCTGGTCACCAACATGTGTGGAGGTTATTCCCATATGCCAGCTAAGCGACCCTCCAGAGCACACATGTACTTCCATTCAATCCTGACATTATCTACCCAGAGTTACGTAGCATCAGATCCTACAGATTGAAGGCTCAGTCCCCCACAAGACTGAACATCACTTTGGAAGCCAACCAGCTATAAATTGGGGTTCCCGTGACCCTTCTCCTTGGGTTCAATTGATTTGCAAGAGCAGATCTCAGTGCTCAGGAAAAACACTTTACTTTCATTTCCTCCTTCATATAAAGGATATTACAGAGGATACAGATGAACAGACAAATAGAAGAAATGGATGGGAAGAGGTGTGGGGAAAGGAGTGTGGGGCTTCCATGCCCTTCCCAGGTGAGCCACCCTCCAGGAATCTCCTCATGTTCAGCCATCCGGAAGCCCTCCTACCTCTGTCCTTTGGGTTTTTATGAAAGCTACATTATGTAGGCATAATTGATTACATCATTGGCCATTGACCAACTTAACTTTCATGTCCCTCTTTCTCCCCAGAGGTTGGTGTATGGGGCTAAAAGTCCCAACCCTCTGATCCTGCCTTCGTCTTTTGGTAACAAGCTCCCATCTTGGAGCTATCTAAGGGCCCCCAACCACCAGTTATCTCATTAGCACACTAGAGACAATCTTCTGTCCCTAGAAATTCCAGGGGGTTTAGTAATAGTAAGTCAGGAAACAGAGAGGAAGATCAAATACATATATCATAATAACTACTTTTTAAAAAATTTCTGTGGTATTTCAGGTTCAGTTGTAACATAAATATGTTACTTTACTTCAAAGGCAAATGAGTTAATGTTTTGGAACATATTAAAATAATTGAGCCATAACATTGAGTTTGAAATACAAAACTCTAAGTGAGTAATTGAAGGGCCATGACGATGATAGAGGTTTGGCAATAAGACTTCTGCTTACTGGCAACCTTTCACTTTACCAGTTTTGAAAGATTAATAAGTGATCCCATGTCACCTGTGTGTGGGAGAGACAAGGTGAATAACTCACATATTGCATTATTAACAATCCATACATTTTGTTCAATGGTTGATATAGCTTTATTTTTCAGCTGGAGGAACAACTTAAGGAGTTGCCATGCATGTTTTCCAATTCTGTTTTTTATTTAGTGACTAGACTCATAGCAACATATTATATTTAAAAATAAGCATTAGGGGATCATCTGTGGATTCTGTCTTCAGGAAATTGTTTTACATAATCCTAACTCTCTTTAATGCTTAATATTCAATGTTTTGCTCACATTACTGCTACGGAAGCTTGTGGTATTATTTTAGAGGTTCCTAAATATCTTGTATCCAATATCTCAATAAATTTTGTAATATTATGTAAATTGTTCCTAGGAGAGATATATTTGGCAAAGCATAGAGCAGAAAATTTTCCTTTGGCTTGTTTCCTTTGGTCTGTTTTGTTTCTTGTTAGCATTTTTTTTACAAAACTATATTCTACATATTGCATAACATATTTTCAGAAACCTGGGGAACAATGTTCTGGGTGGTATAATATGCATATCCTGCTATTGCATGCTAATGCCAATGCAAGAGGTGATGAGGGGATGGAAAGAGTAGTATGTTTATGCAGGAGGAGAGATAGATCTTATTATTTTATTTCTACTTTTTGGGTTTTAGTGTATGCATGTCTTTTATTTTTAAACTGCCTTTAATCCTCTTGCAAAAAAAATGTTGAGATTCAGGTAACAGAAAAAGGAACAAATGAAGAGGAAGAGGCATGAAACACCTTTAAATGACATGCCTTTTATTCCCTCTAAAATAAGTCTCTATAAATCACTCCAGGGAACTCTCCCATTTTTCTTTTGGGTTCTCAACTCCAATACTCTTCTCCTCCATTTTCTTATTGCATTGGAATAAGAAATATTCTTTTGTTCTTTCCCATTTTCTCCTTCCTTCTTAGGAACCTAGAGTAATGAGTAGCTAAGCAACATGATTTCAGGCTCACTGGGAACGTCCGTCCTTTTCTTTTACCAGATATGGATGCTATGATAGTTAATTTTATGTTTCAACTTGACTGAGCTAAGGGATGCCTAGATAGCTAGTAAAACATTATTTCTGAATGTGTCTGTGAGGTTGCCTCCAGCAGAGCTCAGCACTTGAAGTGGTAGACTGAGTAGAGCAGGTAGTTCTTACTAGTGTAGGTGGGCATCAGCCAATCCATTGAAGGCCTAAATAGAACAAAAATTTGGTGGAAGGGTAAATTTGTTCTCTGTGCTTGAGCTGGATCATCCATCTTCTGCCCTTGGACATCGGTGGTCTTGATTCTCAGGCCTCTGGACTCGGACTGGTACTTATGCCATCCATCCTCTGAATTTCAGTCCTTAGGACTTGGACTAAGACGTCATTGCCTCCTCTGGTTCTCAGGCTTTCAGGCTTAGACTAAAATTTCACCACTGGTTCTCCTGATCTTACTGATTATTGGATTTCTCAGCCTCCATAATTGCATGAGCCAATTTCTTATAATAAATCTCTCTTTATGTATCTGTATATATTCTATTGCTTCTGTTTCTCTGGAGACTAATAAGATGCCTAAAAACCCTTAAACCCTAATTCATAAGTAATATAGGAGGATGACAAAGCAGATATCTCCAAGGAATATAGCATATTGACATCAGTTCACAACGAATTAAAATTACAGATACCAACTGCTTTTTAAAAATGTCTTTCAGATAGAGGTGGAATTGGGAAGGTCAGGGGTTAACTGTATACCTGTCAAGTGGATTGGTAGCCATCCAGAGAGAAGTGCTCTGTGTCTGGACTGCAGATCACAAGCACCGTTCTTTTCCTCATTTCTCCCCATCTCTGATTCCTAATTACCGCATTCCACCAACACAAATGTACCATTGATTTGACTACTTAAAATTCCCCTGGTTCATTTTTTCTTATTAAAAGCAAAATTAGAAACAATAGCAAAATAGTTAGTTTACATATAAATTTAGAAAAAGTAAGAATCTTTCAGGTTCTAAGCTTGTAGTATCCCAAGAAGAGATTTATCTTTAATATTTGACAGTACTAAACCCTGTTTTAATAACTCAGAAAAAAAAAAAACTTATGTCCTAACCAACGCCCCCCACCCAAAAAAATACAAAACAAAACAAAACTTCAAGTCTAAAACCGTCACTGGGATGAAGAGGAGTTTCCTTTTTTAAATCTTTTATGAAGACTCTCAGGAAAAAAAAAAATCTCATCAAGATTTACAATAATTTTTATCAGTCATCCAAATATATTTGCTTACAAACTCTTGTTACATTTATAGCCAGACTGACAGTCAATATTTACCTGTTGTCAATTACCAAGTATGAGGATCATCCATCCCAGCAGGAGAAGGAGAACAGCTAACTGTGTCTTTGGAGCATACATTACTGCCTTCCTGCTGGAGCCAAGCCAGTGGGAGAGCAAAAGGAGATACAGGTATAAAAATAACAATGGAGCTTCCTATGGAAATTCTCACTTGTAACTGAGGGAGAAATAACAATCAGAATCAGGCAAGGGAGTCCAACTCTCTTCAGAGCATCTCCTTTGGAGTCACTGCAACATTTATTACTTGCCTTCATTAAACCAGATTCCACAGGCTGTTACTGCTTTGGATTAGAAAGTGGAGAAATGAACTGAGGGGTAAGTGAACGTGGATAAAGGCACATAAATGAGGGTTATGTGTCCGGCTCCTTTAACTTGGTGAGAGGAGGCAAAGGGAGGCGTGTGCCTATCCCCTACCTCCCACTGTCCCGCATTACAGAGTAAAGGATTCGAGGGCAGATGCTAGAAGTCATCCTGAAGGAGTGATGAAATCTAACAAGGGGAATGAATCAGAACAGGGGCACCGAGCAAATAATAATTGATATGAAACTAAAACAAGGGTAGTCAAAGGAAGAAGAAAGCAGAGCAACTAGCAGCAAAATAAACAAAGGGTTGACAGAATGAAGAAATCCTAGAGATGAAATACAGAAGCCTGCAGAGGGTTTCCTGGTGCCAGCGGTTCATTTGAAGGGTTAAAGAGGCCTGAATGGGATGGCAGGGAGACAAATATGCAGACCTCCGTGAATATCTGTACTGGGTCAGTTTCGTTGTCATCACTTACTAGCTTCTGGACACACATTGTTGACTGACACATCAACTGGGTGCTGTTCTTCCTTCCCTATTTCCTTCCCATTGTCAGTATTCAGGTACTGAATATGAGATGAGAGCAGATGTTAATGAGACCTCTGGAAGCCCTGCTCACTGGAAAGGTGATGGTGCCCTACTCCATGGAAATTCAAAAGTCCAACAAACAAATTACAAAATAAGAGTATAGGAGTTCAAAAGTTCTGATTTTTTCCCCATGGTGATCATTTTAATGAATTTTTTGAAATAATAAAATTGTATAAAAATTTTTTGGCTGGGTCTGGTGGCTTATGCCTGTAATTCTGACACTTTAGGAGGACGAAGTGGGAGGATCACTCAAGGCCAGCAGTTTAGGACTAACCTGGACATCATAGCAAGACCCTGTCTCTACAAACAATATAAAAACTAGCTGAGCATGGTGGTGTGCACCTGTAGTCCTGGCTACTCTGGAGGCTGAGGTAGGGAGCATCTCTTAGCCCAGGAATTCAAGGCTGCAGTGAGCTATGATTGGGCCACTGCATTTCAGCCTGGGTGACACAGGGAGACCCCCATCTCTTAATTTTCTTTTTTTTTGCTTTGATAGAGCCCTGAGCATATGCAGAAATTTTCAGTTGAGTTAGTCAACCACGTTCAAGGACTAAGGAAAGAGAACATGTTCCTTAAAAATCTTTAGACTGATGAAATGTGGTTATAATAGTTTAGAAATTTTCTTATATGAAAATAAGGCTGTGTAGGTTTTCTTACTGGTTCCTTGTTTTCAGTGGCCCACAACTTCCTTAAAGCAATAAATTTGCAAATGAATTATGATCTCCTGACAATATATATTTTTAAATGTCATTTATCTGAAGATATAGAGGAAAAGATCTTTTTAAAGCTCTGATGGAACACCTTGCCTCAAGAAAAATTGCCTCAAAGAATTTTCCCTTTTACTACAAAAATGAAACAAATGTATACAAATGATAATGTACAATTAAGGTTGAAATACAGTATGAAACCTATGTCAAAAGTATGCTTTACTTAACAGATGTGCTTTATAATTTATTCATCATGTTATAACAGGTATTGTATCAGAACTATGGAAAGTAGTAACTTACTATTTGTTGCAATGGAAGAGAGTTCTCAGATACAACGTATAAATTCCTTAGAGTTGGACTTATGACATACAGGCCAATATTTTGATGTTAAATGGAAATTTTCTATTTTATATCAAATAGAAATTTTCAGTTCTATAGCACAGATGTTGTCAGTAGAGGACAGTCATAATAATGCAATGTTAAGTGCCTGAAATCAAATACCAGTTTTACCACTTATTACGTGGTTGACCTTGAATAATTTCCCTAATGTCATGAGAGATCTCAGTTTTCTAGTGTGAAAAAATAGTATTAATAATCAAATCTACTGGGTCACTTTGTGTTTTATATAAAGTACTTATAAGTTCCTGGTATTAGTAAAAATTATATTAAGTTATAACTATCATTCTTTTATTACCATCATCATTAATATGTTAGTAATTCATCCTTAAACTCTAATAAATATTTATCATTTTGATATTCTTGGTCATGAATCACGGTGTTTGGTTAATATTTTATATTATGAGATTTAAACCTTCATGCACATTTCTGATTACTACTGCTAAATTCATGAAAAAACAAATCAAAATATAAATTCGTGATAGCTTATTCTCTTTTTCCTTCGCAGGCATCCCTTCCTCTAATTGCCCCTAAAATGCTGACATTTATGTGGGTTCTGTCCTCAGCTACTTTGACTCTGTAAACTTCTTCAATACAAACTACATATGTCACATTCTTAATTAGAATGATTTCATGACTTCTCATTACTCTTCATATAAAGTCCAAATTTAAAAGATGCTCCACAATCTGTCTCCTGATTGTTTCTTCCATCTCATTTCATAGTCCACTTCTCGTGAAATACCAAGATCCAGAGAAAATGGTTTTTCCAAAGATTTGTGCACACTAAGTTCTTTCTCTTGCCTTGACAGCTTTGCAAATGTCATTCCTTCAGCCTTTTTCTTGGGTAACTCTTATTCACCATTTGGGTCTGAGCATAACTTCCTCTGGAAGTCTTCTTCCACACATTGATCTTCAAGTGAGTTAAATCCCCTTCTGTGCATTCCCATAGCATCTATATTATCTCTGTCAAACACTTCATTCTAACTATTTGTTTAATTATGTCTTCATCATCAGGCTTTTTAAGATTTATCATAGTAGAGACTCTGTCTTGCTCATTGAACAAGAATAGTGCCCCCATACAGTCACACTTAATAAATATGAATGAATGAATCATATGGTCTCAATTCCACTTATATAACAATGACTTCAAAATCTGTATTTAGAACTCATTCCTCTCCCCGAGCCAGACTCATTTACGTAGTAACTATTAAATATCCCATTTGTATCACAAAACTCATTATTTCAAGAGTGAATTAATGCTTCTTTTGGTTCATTGCTTCCTTGCTTCTTCTGGTTCATTTTCTACCCTAGAGGGTGACACATGCTACTAATACAGGAGCCTTCTTTACTCCATGTTTTCCCTTCAAGCAACCGTATCTAACCAATCATTAATCCTGCCAAATGTGTATCACCTAAAAATATCCTAAATGCATTTCCTCCTCTGCATTCTAACTACTGCTGCCCTTGTTCTAGGACTCCACTCTCCCACATCAACCAACTTTTCTCCTTGGCCCCAGTACTGCCCTCCTTAAATCCAACTTCTATGCACTTGCCACTGTGAACTATCTGATAATAATTTTTTTCTTGCAATGTTGTTCCTTAGTGACCTATAATTTATATTTATCCCAATGTACTTGACAATTTTGTAGCAAGGTTATATTGGCCTTCTAAACTATGATGCAGAACATGACATATTTTTCTGTTTTCTGGATGAGTTTGCATAATGTTTAAATTAGTTTCTTCTCAAAAGTTTAGTAGAATATGCCTTAAAATATTTGTGTATAAGCTCTGTAAAAGCTTTTTAACCAATGCTTCAATTCCTTTCATGATTCTAAGGCCTATTCATGTTTTTTTTTCACTTCTCTTTCTATCATGTTTGTTAAGGTACATAATATGCATTGTTGTGAAGTACTCAATGGATTCTGGCCAGAAAACATGTTTTCTGATATTAATGGTTTGAAACCCTTTGGGATTTTTTTCATGTTCGAGTACATGGTCAATTTTAACATATTTCATAGGGCTTTAGAAGAATATTTATTTCTGATTTTTAGCTGCAAGGTTCTATATAATCAAAATGCACTATTAAGATTGAAATACAGTGCAAGACCTATGTCAGAGGTTACATATGTTCAAATATTCCGCATTTTTATTAAATTTCTGACTGCTTAACCTAATTGAGAAAAGTACAAGGAAATCTCCCACCTTGGTCACAGATTTGTCAATTTCTTACTCTAATTCCATAATTTTTTACTTAATATGAGATATACTTTGATACAAAATATTTTGGAATTTTTAGCATCTTCCAGGGAAATTGAACCATTTTTAGATTAGGTAATGAACGCCTCTCTCATTTGTCATGCTTTTTGTATTGAGGTCTGTTTTTTCTTCTACTAACATAGCTACTCATGTTTTCTTTTGGCTCATATTTGTCAAAAGTGTATCTTTTGACATTTTTTAATTTTCAATTTTCCTGCATCCTTATTTTTTAGGCATATCGTTTTGGTGCCACAACTGCCATTATGCACTAAGTACTTTACTATGTCTATTAACATATTTAATTTTCCAAAAACTTTAAAGGGAAATATTATCCTGTATTATTCTTGAGTTTAAACACTTTGAGAGTTTAAATAATTTGCCCAAACTCACATAGCCGTCAGTGACAGAGCTAGGACTCAACTGCCTCTGTCAACTCAACTCAACTCAACTCCAATGTGGCAGTGAAAAGTAGCCATTGACAACATATAAATAAATGAAAAGGGCTGTGTTCTAATAAAACTCTATTTATCAACACTGAAATTTGAATTTCAAATAATATTTATGTGTCAAAAAATGCTAATCTTCTTTTGTCCCACTCTGCTGCCCCAAACATTAAGAAATGTAAAAACCATTCATAGTTTACACTTTATACAAAGACAGGCAGTGGGTCAGATTTTGCCCATCGGCAATAGTTTTCAATATGTGTACAGATTTCCATAAAAGACTGATACATTCTTTAAATATTGTGTGATTATTTAAAAGGTTAACCTGTGTTAAATTGAAAATTCACTAATGTGTTAGAAGCAGTTTCCTAATTATATGGATAAACAGTGTTACTACCCATGTGTGAGCACATACACAACCCCCGAAGAATCTTTTGAGAAGTCTTAATTTTTTTTTTTTTTTGAGACGGAGTCTCACTCTATTGCCCCAGCTGAAGTGCAATTGTGTGATCTCAGCTCACTGCAACCTCTGTCTCCCAGCTTTAAGCGATTCTCATGCCTCGGCCTCCCGAGAAGCTGGGATTACAGGCAACCGCCATGATGCCTGGCTAATTTTTGTATTTTTAGTAGAGATGGGGTTTCACCATGTTGGCCAGGCTGGTCTCAAACCCCTGATTTCAAGTGATCTGCCCGCCTTGGCCTCCCAGAGTGCTGGGATTACAGGCATGAGCCACCACACCCGGCCTGAGAAGTCTTAATAGTTAAACTATAAATTGATACATTTTTGTTTAGAGTCGGGTAAAAACGTTGCTGACAATTGTTTTCTGGATGGTTTTGCCTCTAATTAGTGAGTGATTAGAATATCCTTCTGATCCACCACAATATTAGCCAAATCTCTATCCTTTATAGTGCTTATCTGTTTTGGAAATATTTACTTGCCACAGATGTTTTTGTGTGTTTTGAGGATTTTTTTGTGTCATAGATTGATATGGTTTGGCTCTGTGTCCCCACCCAATTCTCACCTTGAATTTTAATAAGCCCCTCTTGTCATGGGAGGGACCTGGTTTGAATCATGGGGATGGGTTTTCCCCGTGCTGTTCTTAGATAGTGAATAAGTCTCACGAGATCTGATGGTTTTATAAAGGGAAGTTCCCCTGCACATGCTATCTAGCCTCCTGCCATGTAAGATGTCCCTTGCTCTTCTGCCATGATTGTGAGGCCTCTCCAGCCATGTGGAACTGTGAGTCAATTAAACCCCTTTCCTTTATAAATTACCCAGTCTGGGATATGTCTTTATCAGCAGCGTGAGAACAGGCTAATACATAGATCAACTGTTTAATGCATCTTAACAGATTATACAATAGCAAAATGTTATAAAGAGATTTCAGAAATCAATGACGGAGATGAGATTGTTGAATCATATTGAGGAGTCATGTTTCAGTGCTTGGTTGGTTTATACATGGTGCTAACTTAAGTTGAGTAAGAGATACAAAATAAAAATATAGCATGGGTAAATATTAGGTTCAAAGGAGTAAGAGAGTTTAATACTGTTTGAGGAAGGAAAAGAAGGGTCTCAAGAAATATAATTTTCTAGAAGAAATGGGAGTGAGAGGAGAAAGCACTCCAAGTAGAGCAAGTGGCACAAACCAAAGCAAGGAGGTGAAAAAGTTAATGGAGTTTTGCAGAGGATAAGAAGTCTGGTTTGATTAAAACCTTTGGCACGTGGGATGGTATGGACGTGGAAGTTGGCGATGTGGGTGTGATGACAGTGTTTCACTAAGATGTCATTAGCGTTCTGTGTTGGTTCTGTACCACTGTGTATTTATTTAAGCTATTTTTTTAAAGTCTGTAATGTAAATAGACTCATCTATTTATGGCAGAATAGAAAGGATCGATTGAACTGATGACAATAGCCCTAAAGATTTTTATTGTTTTTTTCCTTCATATGATAACATCTACTGTCTGGTAACAAATGCAAAGATTTTACTATCTAAAGACCGTAGTCACAAGCATAAAAAAGACTACATCCTTATCCTTTTCCAAGGTTTCTTTTAAGGGTTTCATTCTGTTTTGATAGATGCCAGGTTAAGATCATAACAAATAAGCATCCTCTACAAAAGAAAAACAGCTTAAACTCCTATCTGTACAGCGGTCTGTCATTGCCATTTGGAAGGTAGATGAAAGAATTTTGTGAGAGACATTCCTCTCTGGACCTTTTGTGTGCTTTCCAGATGATACCCTGCCAAAAAGGATTCCATGCCATGGGTATTTGATGTGAGTACACATTATTCTCTGTCACTTCATTGGGAGCCATTTAGCTCTTATGAATTTTAGCAACGGGTATGTCAGATTTCTATCAATTCTCACTTTAAAAAGATTTGAACTATGACTCATTTAAAAAGCTCTTCTATTTGTAAGAATCTTAAAATACCCAAACACAATCTTGAAAGGACAATTCAGAAATAGTACATAGAATCTGAAAGTAACACTGAAATTTTGTCACTGATGCATTCCAAGAGATTATTTTTTCTGTAATTTAATGTTTTGTTTTGTTTTGTTTTTGTTTTTTGTTTTTTTGAGACGGAGTCTCACTCTGTCACCAGGCTGGAATGCAGTGGCATGATCTCAGCTCACTGAGACCTCCACCTCCTGGGTTCAAGTGATCCTCCTGCCTCAGCCTCCCGAGTGGCTGGGACTACAGGCGCCCACTACCACGCCCAGCTAATTTTTTTGTATTTTTAGAGTAGAGACAGGGTTTCACCATGTTGGCCAGGATTCTGTAATTTAATATTAAACATGATGAATTATGTTAATTCCTATTTGCATTTTGACCTGAAATGTTTGTTATTTGAATCATTTTAGTTATTTCATGTTGTGAAGTTTATATTACCTACATTATTTCTGCTTTCACTCAATTATATATGAAATAAATGGTATAAGGAACCATAGAGTCTACCTGCCTATTCAGTCTTAAAAATACCCTTCTAAAGTAAATTTATATCAGAAAGAGACCCCCCTACTCCCACCCTGGAAATCTATATTGATTTACGTAAGAACTATATATAATACATTGAAGAGTTAGCAGATTTTAAATGGCCAAAATGGCTGTTGAACTAGAATGACAAGTTTGACAGTGAGTTGTGTTCTTCCCTATTGTTTATGTTACCTTCACATTACTGTAGCCAGGAAAAGGCAGGTAGTTTATAAAAATAAACAGGAAAAAAAAAAGCTTTAGAGAGGGAATTTTTTACTTTTTTAAAAAATAGTCCTCTTAGCAACACCTAGACTGGAAATTATTGTTTCTTGTCTAAAAACATGGGAACAAGGTAGATTTACCCTTACTAGATCCAAGAGACCAATTAAAGACATGTAGTTGTCAGAATGAGGTCAGCACTACCCATTGGAGCAGATGTTACTGTAGCCAAGTAGCATGTGACCAGAAGTACATGACCAAATTTGTACTTGACCAAAGTACATGACCAAGTACATGACCTTCAGCCATATGTCTATATGGGGTCTAAGATTTGCCCTCAGAAGGAAGACAGCATTGATGCCGTATAATATCAAAAAATGAATTCAAACAGCAGCCCAACTTAGCAAAAGCCATTATGCAGCTAAACTCAGTACAGATTAATACAAAGTGTAAAGTGGAACAGATAAAGAAATAATCAGAGTTTTTCTTATCTGATATAGAGAAATACTCCTATTCCAAACTATAATTCTGTACACAGATATTTAGATTAAAAAGCCATAGAGCAATCCTTTAAACAATAACAACAGTAGAATTGCATCAACAACAATAGCAAAGGTTAAAGTATGTAAGAGTCATCTACATTAGACAAATCAGAGTGAGTTTGAAGAAGCCCAGATGCCAGCATATTGAAATCACTGATGAGAAAATGAACAGCTAAGTTGAAGCAAATGTGGAACGGATGATGCTGAAGCCCATAGATAGTACCAAGTCTGAGGCTTTGCCTTTGGGCATTCACAATGTCTAGTTTATCAGTAAACTTCAAATCTTCCTGGGTCTGAAGGTTTTCATTCCAAACCTTTAAAACAGGGGCCAGCTAACTACAGCCTGTGGACCAAATCTGCCCAACAGCCTTTTTTGTAAATAAAGTTTTATTGAAACAGAGCCATGCTCATTTATTTACATTTCTTTTTATGGCTACTTTCCCACTTCTACAGCAGTACTGAGCAGTTGCAACAGGCACAGTATAGCCTACAGTATTTTCTAGCTGGCTAGCCCCTAACTTGGAGGAGCTTGCCAACCCTTAACTTAGAAACTTCATTGAAAAAATGATTACTTCAATAGAATTGTCTTATGTGAAAAAGATTATGAGGTTTGTGTTTCATTACTAAGAAAATGAAATTTGCATAGTATGAAAATACCTTTTCAAAACTATTCATAAAAGCAACTCAATAAATATATGTAAAGTTTATTTCAGGATTTACACAAGGGGGTGACTATGGATGCCATGGAAACAGTACTATAAATCCATAATATAAGTGTAGGTATTTACACTACACCTAACAAAGCATTAGTTTTCATATCTTTAACAATAATGATTAAATATTGCTTTCAATTACTGGATAAATAGAACTCAAGCCTTTCTATTTAAAGAATGGTATTTCCCATTTTTCAGGCCACCATAGAATTGCAAGCCTGATCAAATGTGAAATATCAAACTAGGGATTATGCTTTCATGTAAGAGATATGTCTATGAAGAAAAGAAAATTATTCCCCAAAGGCATCTCAAGCATTTAGAATTTTCTACTATTTATCTATGCATGGTAGTTGAAGTTAATCTCTACATAAAATAATGGATTTTCACTTATCTCAAGTCATAATTTTTGTTTTGTTTTCTACTGCCTTATATTTTGTGTTATTGATATGAGCTTTGGACATTAAATTTGGAATAATTGCAATGTAGTAACATTACTTTTTAACTTTAGAATGAGTTTAGACTTATTTCTAAAATCTTGACTGGGCCTGTGTATATGGCTTAGTTTTGTTTGACAACTTACACACTTACTAATTCAATTAAGAAGTGAACTAAAGGTAGAGGCACCATCATCTTTAAGCTGGATTGTTAGCAGGTTTCTCACTGACCATCAAATTACCCCTCTGCTTGAAGCTGCCCAGTGGCTTCCTAGCTCATTCAGTGTAAAATCAAAGTTCTTATGATGGCAAACCAGGAACACCCTATCCCACAGCCTTTGTGCATGCTCTTTGCTTTGCCTGGAATACTCTTGCCACATGTGTAAGAAGACCTCACTGCTTCCCCTCCAAGACTGCTTAATGTTACCTTCTCAATGTGGCCCTCTCTGATGAACACCATTCTCCATCCTGATATTCCCTATTGTCCTTTCTTGCTTTATTCTTACCTACAGCACATTTTATCTCCTTATATTCTATTACCCTTCACTTATTTAAGGTAGGCTCTGTTACAACAAGACATTTGATTTGTTTATTTGCTGCTGTATTCTCAGGATCTAGAATTGTACCTGGCCAACAGGAGGTGTTTCATATATACTTGTCAAATGAAATTTGATAAGTGAATTTAAAAATGGGGAACAATAATGATGAAAGCAACAAAGGACTGGAGCATGTGTGATCACTGAATAGTTATGGGGGAGGGTGGTCAGGAGCTTCTGAGGCCCGCTAATGAATGATCAGGAATGCTTGTTCCCTAGGAAATGCATGGAATTCATGGAGTAGCTGAATTTTTGTCACTTAGTAAGTTGTCTATACTTGAACAAGGAAAATACGTATGTTTTATTTTAGCATTTAACAGTTAGTAACCATATAAGAAGTGTATATTATGTTATTAAAGATGCCTAAAAAGGAGGGGAAATCTCTAGCATGTTTTGTTCTAAATTTACCAGGCTTAGCCCAGTATGTTTTGATGACCCCTTATGTATGTTTTGGAGAAATAAGAATCATATGCCACAAAAATGCAAACTGAAATAAAAAACTATGAGCAGGGAAAAGGAGTGATCATAGATATTATGAAAAAGTTGCTTTTAAGTAATATCTGAGGTTCTTCAAGAATTTATAATCTCATAATAATAGCAAGCACTTATATAGTACATCCCATGTGAAATACAGCTCTAAAAGCTTTACACATATAAATGAATTTAATCTTTATAGCATTCTAATGAGGTAGGTGGTATTATTTCCATTTTTCAAACGAGAAAAATGCGACCCATAGAGATTAAAAACCTCATCCAACTTCACACAGGGAGTGGCAGTTCCAGGCTTCAAGTGCAGGCAGTTTGGATTAAAAATCTGTGCCCTTAACCACAACATTATGCTGCCGATGAGGACCTCTCGCTTTAATCTGAATCAGAGTCAGCCAAAGAAAATAGTAGAGTAAGCAGGTCCTAGACAGTTAACACATAACATTATACAGCTATGGGCAGTCCCAACAGTTCCTGAAAGGATTAAAAAAAAGAGAACCAGTCACAGATCCAAATATTTCAGCTTTAGAAATTTATTTCAGCATGGACATCTGAGTCCTGCAGCTGCTGTGTATGGTCTTTTGTGTGATCACAGGTGTTGGCTGTACTATGAGAGCACATAATGGCAGATGACAAGGCAAGCATAGTAGGGACTGCCAGCCCCAGGAGGTAATGCCAAGTTTAATACTGAAAGTAAAACATATGCATGTGCCAGTTTTCTTCTAAATGCATTTATATTGAAGAAAAACAAAGCTATCTTCTAAAAAAAAACATCTGTGTATGGATAAAGGATGATATTGGCATAAAAATAGTAGCACTTAAAAATTAAGATTTGGTTTAAAAACTGGAGAAAATAAAGTGATAAAATCAGGCAGTCACATCAAGAAACAATCATTTGAGGATGAAATCAACAACAATCAGCAGCTACATATTTCAAGTTTTGGAAGTCAAAGCATTGCTTCAGTTTTCACGTAAAAAAAATCTTTCAAAAAAGGAGAAGAAATAAATTATACTCAGTACCTTTTCACAAATAGAACTCACCTGCTACTTTTCTATTAGCAGGTGGCTTATGTGAATCAGTATGAATGAGTGACGTTTTGGGGAAAGGGGGTGTTTGTCTATTGAAATTTCACACATAGTAGGAAGGTGAGGGCCTTCCTACTATGAGTTAAGTTGTTCCATTGGATTAAACAAATGTTCATAGATTATTTGCTATGTGTACCATGCTGGGAAAAATCCATATATAAACTATAGACTTAGCAAAGAGAAAACAGAACACAAATCTCATGAATGTTAAGCATACTAAGTAAGTAACATAAGGGAAGTACAAAGAAGACCCCATATCAGATTTGAGACTATGGTTCTAAGTAGGAGGTAGAATTTGAATTAGTACCTAAGACTTAATATAGCCTTTCAATTAGAAGAAAGGAAAGGCATTCCAAGGAGAGGAAGTTGAAATAGAGTAGAAGAGGTGAAAAGCTAGGGATCAACATTCATGGAAAGTAGTCCACATTGTCTGAGACACATGCTCAGTAACTTGAGAAGCTTGAATTCTAGTAAGAGAATTATGAAGCAAGGGTCAAGGACTAGGTCTTGGTCTGGCTCTCCAGACCTGGGCCAGTGACTGGCATATAATAGGTGTTCCATTAAAGTTAGGTGAAATGAAATGGCAGGCTTCTGTACAGATAACCATACAGCAATGTAAAACTGTGTTCTGATTGAGGCACATGCAAGACTGTGCAGAGTTACAGAAAAGGCAAATCATTTTGCTTAGAGAGTAAGGGGAGGCTTCAGAAAGGGTAATATTTGGGCTGAGTAGATCTTAAAGACTAAGATTTCCAGATGATGTGGAGGAAAAAGGGTGTTTCATAGAGAGAACAGTGTACCCATGAGTATGATATATTATGCAAATGGTAAGTAACTCATTATGGCTCAAGAAGAGAGGGAGTGGAATGGAGGATACTTTGAGGGAGAATGGGGCTGACAAGTTTGTTTGGGACACTTGAGAACAGATAATGTCAGATAGTGAATATCCCACCTGAAAATTTGAATTCTGTGCTCTAGATGGGGGGCAGGGGGTACCAAGAGTTATTTTAAAGTACCCATAGTGACAGGACGAAAGTTCGTCTTTCAGAATTATAACACTAAAGCAGTATGGAGGATGAACCAGAGGTGGGAAGAGTCTGCAGGCAAGAAAAACTAACCAGGAAAGTCACAATGTGACACATGAACAAGTGAAAATGAGCATAGTAAAACCCACATATGTAAATGCTAAGTAGGTGTCAATTACATGAGTCATCAAAATAGCCTGGCTTTAGTCAAAGTTTATCATTTGGATTTGGAGCCAAATCTTATTTTAGAGATATTTTTCCCCTAATTTAACTTAAAAGTAACAGAAACAAGATATAGACTACTAGTTACTTTAACTCATGGATTTCTACACCTACTGTATATTTCCATATGTACTAAAGGTGCTAGTAACAAGATCAATGCTACATTTTCCTTATGTCATAACATATCCTTTATATTACTTTTTGGTGTGTTTAAGTGATACATACATAGAATATGGATGATTTAGTGCTCTAATTTGCTATTCAACTTTATAGTCCCCCTAACATCGTGATGCAAGGAGAGTTTCACCTGTGGTGACACCTTGTTTGTATCCTAACGTCCCCAGTTTGAAAACAGACTTTACTTGTGGGTACATTTTTATTTGGTTGTTTAACTCTGCAGAATTTTGCAATTTTACAAGGGAAGAAAATTCATTCTTAAAAGTCTCGTGTTTAATATAAGAAATGTGTTGGTCAATATCTTTTTCCATTTATGATGCATATTTTTGCCAAACTATATATTTTCTTTCTTAGTTTCTCAACATATGTTTGTGTAAGTTAAATAAGTTTGGATACTTGGTCAAACTTTCTCAGCCTTCCACTTCACTCACCCAAAATAAACGCAAAATTTATTTTAAGCATTTCAATATATGGTTTAAGAATATCCTCCCATTTAACATTAGTTTTAAATAAACCAAATCATCCAATTTCCTCCTATTTTCCAGTTGCCAAGTAGTTCTGGAGAAAAGCAAAAAACGGGATCACTTTGTTCCATTACACTGACTGAGACTCTCATTTCTTCTGAACAATTCTTCTACCTATCCCTAGTTAAAACCTACTTTTCCCCAAAGCCCATATTCCAAAGATTTTTCCAATTTTCACAAATATCAGCTGGACTTTCTCTACCCTTTTAATTCTCTATGGATTAGCCTATCTTTACTAAGACCATTTAACATAAGCCCTTCAGTGTTCTAAAAACATCAAAATGCTCTGAACATTCGTCCATCCATTCCCTCCTATGTTCTTCCTGCCATCAAGAAATAATTATTCCCTTCATCCAAGGCTGACTCTCCAAATGAGACCATATTTTCTTTCATAGTCGAAGATGTTTTTCTTTAATTATGTGTACTCCCTCCTTAACCTTAAGTTTCTCCTCCTCCTCTGTCTATACACATGACTACACATATCCAAAATTTCCCCAACCTATGAACAATCAAATACCCTCTATAACTTGTACTCTCTTAAGCCACTATGCTAGGTTTTTCATTGCCATATTCATTGAAAGCATACTCTACAAAGCTTTTTCTGCATCTTTACTCCTTAATCCTTTGCCATTCTAGTTCTATCCATGCCCACTCTACAGAATTTAACCTCTTCAAAAACTAACCTTCCTTTGTCCAAAAGCTATTTTGCACTATTTTTTGAAACATTATGCTCCTATGATTATGTTCAATATTTCATGTTTTCTGCCTTATATCCCTGACCGTAGACATAAGTATTCTCTATATTCAACCCTTATTACTCAACTCTGCTCTGTCAACATTCTCTTTGGGGACAATGCTATTTTTGCCCTTGCCCTAACTAAGATTTTGATATGAACCGTTCCCAAATCCCTGTCTCTATATGAGATCATGCTGGAGCTTTTGTCCTTTTTGCAAACAAGTTTCTCTAAGAAGGTATAAGGGACATTTTTTTGTAAACCAGATATTGATTTACACAGTGTATATATGTTCGCTTATTCTTAGAAACTATGCACTGAAGTAATTAGGAGTAAAAAGTCATGATTTATGCATTTTGCTTCAGAAAAGAAGTACAGTTGACCTTTGAACAATATGATTTTGAACTACACAGGTCCATTACATGTAAATTTTTTAAATAATCATATTGGAAAATTTTTTGATTTGTAACAATTTGAAAAAACTTGCAGATGAACCATGTAGCCTTATATTTAGGCATGTTGTGAATGCCTAAAATACATGTAAATACTAGTCTATTTTATCATTTACTACAATAAAATATATATAAATCTATTATAAAAATTAAAATGTATCAAAACTTACACACACACAGACTGTACATAGCTCCATTTGCAGTGGAGAGAAATGTAAATAAACTTAAAGATGCTGTATTAAATCATAACTGCATAAAATTGACTATAGTACATACTAATCCACTGTAATAATTTCATAGCCACCTCCTCTTGCTAATGCAGTGAGCTCAAGCGTTGTGAGTATTCACTTGAAGCGACATGTGATGCTAATCATCTCTACCTAAACAGCACAACTCTCCACTAAATTGCCTATTGCAGTAAAAAGAGATTATTCACGATTCTCCATCATGTTTAGTGAATACCATAAACCCTGAATAACGCCAACGTACCCGTGCCACTGGCAATGCTGGAAGTGCTCTCAAGAGGCATAGAAATGTCGTGACATTACAAGAAAAATTTGGATAGCTTGATATGTTCCATAGATTGAGGTCTGCAGCCACAGTTGCTCACCAATTCAGACAGACAATTCATCTTCTAAACAGACAATGTAAGCTTACAGTATCGAGAAACACAGTACAATGTGGTAAATGTATTTTCTGTTCTCTATGATTTTTCTGATAACATTTTTTCTCTTTATTGAAAGAATATAGGATATAATGCATATAACATATAAAATATGTGTTAATCAATTTTGGAGGGAGTTAAAAGTCATACTCAGATTTTTAACTGAGTTGGGGGTGGGTGCCCCAACCGTCACGTTGTTCAAAAGTCAACTGTATATATTATCCATAAAATGCACACACACATACACAAACATACACACACACACATATTTGCATATACTTATATATGTTTGTGTCCCTATTAACAATAGGTAAATTTGTGTAAAGAATATATACGTCTTTCTTGTATTATATTTATTTTTAAACTTTTCCATAAGTTAAAATTATTTCCAAATAAAAAATTATGAAAATGTGTGGGATGTAACTAAAGTACAGAAAGAAAAGAAAATTTCATAGCTTTGAAGACATTTATTGTAAAACAAGAAAACTAATACAAATAAGCTAAGCTTTAACTCAAGAAGCTAAAAAAAGAGAGCGAGGGAAACATCTCAAGTCTAAACACAGCAAAATGAATTCAACAATGCAGATGAGGAGAGAAATGAATATACATGTTTACAAAGCCACAGAGAATTTTAAGCTACCCATTCATTGCTAAATAGTGTCAATTTCCTCCTCCACCTTCCCCTACTCCTCCTTCTCATTCTTTTTTTAAAAAATTATTGACTTTATACATTAAATGTGCTTTTCTCCGTGTTTGTCTATTGAAATTTCACCTTCTTACAAGTACAAGGTACAGGTCCCTTCTTTGTCCTTAAGAGGGAGAAAGAAGAGACAAATCTAAAAGAAACATAGCAATGGTTCCAACCAAGGGGTTGAGCATCTATTTAAGAAAGGAACAAACAAAATAGCAGGTATATATTAATTTTCTATAAAACAAGCAACTAAATTGAAAAGAATTTAATGAACTGGCTTTATAATAACTGAATTCATAATTAATATTTAAATCTATAATGTTTATCCATGAACTAATATAATATCAAATCCACACATATAATTAAAAATTATAGAGTTTTAAAATATTACCCTTGGTTTATACAGGAGTATCATTAGAAGTAGCCCTCCAGCACGCTGGGCTCTACGCATCTCTGTTCTTACTGCCAGCAAATCTGATCTACAGAGTATAACATGTATTTCCCAAGCACAGACAAAGCAAAAGGAAAAGGGCTAGGCAGGAGGTAGGGACACCAGCTGCTGGGGAAACAAGTCTTCAGCAACCTGGCTTGTGAGCCAATCAAGGTTGCTAAGGTAGGTCCTGGGCCTAAACAGGGTACATTTCCACCTGGTTGGGGAGAATAAAATGACAGATACCAAAAATTAACAAGATAATCTATGGTCGATAACAAATTGATACAATAAACCATGAATTCTCTAAGAATTCAAAGAGGGCAAAAAAAAAAAAAGTAAGAGTATAATTAAAGTAATAAGTACTAATAAGTAATAAAAATATCATTAAAATATGGATATATGGGATTTGAATATTATACCTAATGAATTTTAAGATATAAAATTAATTATGCTACAAAGAGAATAAATTTTTTTGTATATGTTTTATGGAACATTTATAAAAATTGACTATATATTAAGTACCATCAAAATTAGTAGATTACAGAAAAGTAAAAATTATAGAAGCCACATTTGCTAGTATAGTGATAAATAAATATATGCTAATAGCAAAAATTAATCATTAGAAACAAAGATTTACATAAATATATTTTGAAATATAAAAAAAGAGCTTGAGGCAAAGAGGAAATCAAAAATTTAATATAAAACTATTTAAAAATAATGAAAAGAAACCAAAATAGCACTTTAAATAATGAATCACAGCCATACTGAGATATAAATTTATAGACTTAAAAAGTTTATTAAATAGTAAAAGATAAAAGTAAATCTACTACATGTAAAATAAAAACAGCACTTAAGATTTCTAAGAAAAGATGGAAATATGAAATAATAAAAGTGGAAATTGAAGGAATAGGGAAAAATGTATATCTTAATTTCAGGAACTTGTTTATTCAAAAGGCAAATATGTTTTAACATTCATCTTGAAGTAGTATTAATGTTTGAGGCTAATAAAAAGATGTAAAGGCATATTGGTGGTAGGAGAAATGTAAGCAGGGAGTAGGTGCCTTCTTACCAGATGTTACAATTTATAAAATAAAAATATTCAACTCTATTCCTGATCCAAAATTTATAGCCCTATCAATAAAAGAGAATAAAGAAATGAATTATACTTAGGGATTTAGTACAAAATAAGGATGACATTTCAGGTCAGTTTGAAACTTTTGTATTACACAATAAACAGTGCTTAATCATTTGGTTATTTGAAAAAATAAAATTAAGTCCCTGCATTTTATCGACTCTCACAACACATTATCAATATATATTAGTTTTCTATGGATGCTGTAATAAATTACTGCAAAGTCAGTGACTTACAACAGCACACATTTATTCTCCCTCAATCCTGAACGTCAGAAGGAAAAATTAGTTTCGCTAGGCTAAAATTAAGGTGTTCGCAGGGCCAAGCTCCTTCTGGAGGCTCTAGAGTAAAATCCATTTCTCTGCCTCCTCAGGCTTCCAGAGCTCCATTCCTTGCATTCTTTGGTACTTGGCCCCTTCCTCCATCTTAAAGCCCAGCAGCCTAGCATCTTCAAATCTCTCCCAGCTCCATCTTCACATGCCTTCTCCTCTTGCATCCCTCTTACCAGGACAATTGTGACGACAGAGCCACATGGACAATCCAGGATAATCTCCACATCTCAAAACCCTTCATTTAATCACATCTCCAAAACACATATTTTTCACATAAGACAATATTCACAGATTCCAGGAATTAGGATCTGGATATTTTCAGGGACCATTATTTAACTTACCATACAAAATAGTAAATATTGACATGTAAAATCTGAAGGCATGCTAAAGATACTATATATGCTTATTTATTTATGTAATGATGTATTTATTTGGCCAAAGGAGATATGGCTAAGCACAAAAACAAAGGAAAAAATTTAAAGACAAAAATAGGCCTGAAAAAATTTTAATTTTCTGTATGAAAACAAAATTAACAGGCAAATGACAGCTAGGAAAAACCATTTCACTATATATGACTGGAAATAAATATAAAGTTTAATTACAAATCAACATGAAAAAATAAACCAAATTTTAAAAACAGACAAAAATATAAGCAGTCATTCCATAAAATAAAACATATGAACAGTCAACAGGTATATAGAATATTTTCAACCTTATATTAAATAGTTAAAAAGGTAAAATATTGTACCCTTGTCAGAAAGTACCTCTTTCTAATAATGACACCCAACTTTATCAAGCATTTAGAAAATAAGTCCCCTCAAATATCATCAATGGTGACATTAATTTTCTCAATCTTTTTTGAGAAAATTTTGTAATACAGACTAAAACCTACATTAAGAACTTCCATTTGTTAGAATTTTGTTGTTAAAAAAAATCTGAAATTTGCATAAAGACATACTAAAAATGTAATGTAAATAAATATATTTATAATTTTTAATACAAAAGTAGATGCTATTTATTGAATACTCCAGCATATGCCAGCTTAGTATTTTGGAAATAGTACCTAACAATTTTATTATAAAATTATTTTTCCCATTTCGAAGATAAAGACATTGAGATTCAAAGAGGCTAGGGGAGTTGCTACAAATTACATAACTACTAAAGAATAAATCATTGTACACAATACACTAAAGATTGTGTAGTTTCATAACAAAATCTGCTCACTTCATTATGATGTTAGGGCATTTATTACACTATTATTTATGGCAGCAAAAAAATACTTAAATATGCAACATCTGTATTTTAAAATCATATTTTACCAACATACTATGTAGAAAGGAATAATCGTATTTTCAAAAAAATTATATGAATATATCAAACTTGTTTCAACATTATTAAGAAGAAAAAATAGAACAGTATATTCTTTGTGACATATGTATGGAAAAATAGATAGTAAACAGAGAGATTGATTCATAAAACAGATGGTTTATATTTGAATTCCAGGTCTACCACTAACCACATTGGATTATTACAGAAATCAAGTGAGATAATTCATGTAAACTGTTTAGCGAGTGCCAGGTACATAGCAATGCTCAACAAACACATATATCTCAGATCTCACCTGCAGTCTCCCTAGTCCCTGAGGTCTAGATAGAAGTTCCTTGAACCACCATTTCCATGGTTTGGAAAGTCCCAAAGATTACTGCATTTAGTGTTGCATCTCTCCCCACATAGCAGAGAGCCAGATGTGAAATTCCACCCTCACAAAGCATTTGTGAGTAGACTTTACTGAAATGCTTGGGGTCACAAACAGAGGTAACATCAAGCACCACCAGTTTAAAACAAAAATTCCTGCTGCCTTTTCCTAAAAAGTATTTCTAATCTCAAACTGCATTTTGGATAAACCTATACCAAGATGTTCTACTACCATGACACTAACAGGGAGTTCCCTTGGCCCTGCATGCACGTGGTACCCAGTTTTATCCAGGGAGAAGAGTGTGACTTCTTCTTGGAGGTTTTAGTGCCAGCCAACACCAGCACATAAACACACACACACTCATGCACACACACGGAATGTTATAAATGAAAACCATGCTCCAAACGTCATTAACAGTGCTTACTTCTGCAATTGAGATTATGTAAGTGATTCTAATTTTTTTCTTCATACTTTATTTCACAATAGAGTTCTTCTTTAATGAACAGGTATTGCTCTTAAAATCAGGGGAAAAACATGTTTTAAGAGAAAAAAAGTTGGTATGAAATAAATCTAAGAAAATATTCCTTCAAAGTGGATGATTTTTATTGTCATTTAGTTATATGCTTCAGTTAGCTAGAAATTTTTATTTACATGAGATGATTTGTGAAATTACCCAATAATGTCAGGCAAATGACAATATTCGAATATATCACTCCCAAATGAGATGAAACATTCTATGTATTTAATATTTATGTGTCTTTCCTTATATTCTTATATTTTATTTAAACAAAAGCTATAATCATCTTATTAAACTAAGTCCCATTCATTTTAACACATGACCATTCAAGAAAATCTTTAAAATTGTTTCAATGGTACCTAAAATAATAGATTGTTCAAACAATATATCTTTTCTATAAAAAATTTTGTGGATCTAGATACCATCAAGATGAAGCCTAGGTTCATGGAAATATGGCAGAGATCCTGGAAAAGTTCAGCTTTTCCATTCCATTTCACACACTGAAGTGACAACCGTTCATCTCAATCATTTTAATCTTAAAAATAATAGATGCACAATAACAACCAAAAAAATCACTTTTTATAATTATTCAGTTGAAACTAACAGAAACCCACTACAGCTAGCACTCAGGGTTACATCATAAATAGTATGTTCAAGAATGCAGAGACCTCAGAAAGAGACAGAGATCGAGAACTGAATGAAGAACCATCCGGGCCAGACAGTAGGACCTTTTTGGTCCTACTTCTTCATTCTTCTACATTCTTCATATTTTCCTACAGTCCAGCTTCCCTGTATTGCAAGGGGGACTCAAAGATAGTCACTTTGCAGATACTGATTTAAATACTGAGATTAAACCAAACTGAACTGAACCAGGTAAAGTCCTTTCCATTTTTATTCCAAATTTCTAGAAAAAAAAATTTAATTAGCTCAGATTTGGTAAAGAATTCTCCCTGTCCAAACAACTGAAGGCAGTGCTTTCCTCATGTGTAGTTTTCACCTATGCTTTTAAAGTCCTTCTAGCTTTTGTGACCTAGTATTATTTTATTATAAATACAGGGATTCAGTTAATGGATTGGACAGTCAGGGAAGGGGATCATTGCATGCTATGCACAAATCCCTAAACAGATCCTTGATGATTGCTTTTCTAGTTTAGTAAATGAGCATAAATAAAGCATTAAGAACACCAAGTACAAGGGGGGCTGGGCGCGGTGGCTCACGCCTGTAATCCCAACACTTTGGGAGGCCGAGGTGGGAGGATCACGAGGTCAGGAGTTTGAGACCAGCCTGACCAACATGGTGAAACCCCGTTTCTATTAAAAATACGAAAATTAGCCGGGTGTGATGGCGTGCACCTGTAATCCCAGCTACTCAGGAGGCTGAGGCAGGAGAATTGCTTGCACCCAGGAGGCAGAGGTTGCAGTGAGCTGAGATCAGGCCACTGCACTCCAGCCTGGGCGACAGAGCAAGACTACATCTCAAAACAAAACAAAACACCAACTAAGCATAGGAAGGCATTATTAAAGATTAAATCAGTGTTGTATAGTATAGATAGTGTAGATCTTTTTTTATTATTATACTTTAAGTTTTAGGGTACATGCGCACAACGTGCAAGTTTGTTACATATGTATACATGTGCCATGTTGGTGTGCTGCACCCATTAACTCGTCATTTAACATTAGGTATATCTCCTAATACTATCCCTCCCCCCTCCCCCCACCCTACAACAGGCCCTGGTGTGTCATGTTCCCCTTCCTGTGTCCATGTGTTCTCATTGTTCAATTCCCACCTGTGAGTGAGAACATGCGGTGTTTGGTTTTTTGTCCTTGCGATAGTTTGCTGAGAATGATGGTTTCCAGCTTCATCCATGTCCCTACAAAGGACATGAACTCATCAGTTTTTATGGCTGCATAGTATTCCATGGTGTATATGTGCCAAATTTTCTTGATCCTATCTATCACTGTTGGACATTTGGGTTGGTTCCAAGTCTTTGCTATTGTGAATAGTGCGACATGAAGGACCTCTTCAAGGAGAACTACAAACCACTGCTCAATGAAATAAAAGAGGATACAAACAAATGGAAGAACATTCCATGCTCATGGGTGGGAAGAATCAATATCGTGAAAATGGCCATACTGCCCAAGGTAATTTATAGATTCAATGCCATCTCCATCAAGCTACCAATGACTTTCTTCACAGAATTGGAAAAAACTACTTGATATTCCCCTTCCTGTGTCCATGTGATCTCATTGTTCAGTTCCCACCTATGAGTGAGAATATGCGGTGTTTGGTTTTTTGTTCTTGCGATAGTTTACCGAGTTAGTGGGTGCAGCGCACCAGCATGGCACATGTATACATATGTAACTAACCTGCACAATGTGCACATGTACCCTAAAACTTAAAAGTATAATAAAAAAAAAAACAACAAAAAAAACTACTTGAAAGTTCATATGGAACCAAAAAAGAGCCTGCATTGCCAAGTCAATCCTAAGTCAAAAGAACAAAGCTGGAGGCATCACGCTACCTGACTTCAAACTATACTACAAGGCTACAGTAGATAGTGTAGATCTTATCTTGTGCTTCATTCAAAGGATCATGGTAAGCTAACTATAGAAGAATAAAATGTACATTTATATATAATATCTCACATATATAGATTATTATGAAAAATCAGTCATTTCCATTTAATGGTAGTTATGTCAAAGCTATGGAATCTTTCAGTGGGGGCATATCACACTGACTAGAGGAATTGCTTTAAAGGGTAAAAGTATTAAGATAGTGGAATTGTGGAACATTAAATAGTTCTCAAAGAGATAATTGCAACACACTGAACTTTAGGTGTACCCTGACTATCTGCTACAGTGGTCTCCTATGTATAATCTTCCCCCACGCTTTTAAGCCCTATTTTCGTTACCTAATGCTATTTCATTATTTAGAATGTACACTTTACTGCCTACTAAGAACAGGAAAAAAGGGGCCAAATTTATGGAATATTGATATGATTGACGTGTGATGCAGGCTCTGTTGTTAGTGCGGGAAAGAAAGGCAACAGACCTGAATAATAGAAACATGAAATATGCCAAGGACCCTGAGTATCTAATAATCTGATGAATTAAGTATAATCTCTATTTTCTATAATGGAACTATTATTCAACATCACAAAGTATAGAGTACCTATTTCTGTCAATATGATCTGCATTCATGCAGGTAAATTCACTGGTTCTCTACAACACTGCAAAAGAAATTTAGCTCACATTTCACATTTTACTTTAAATGTTGCCCATAAAGATTTTTTAAAAATCTTATTTCATTTTTAGGTATTGTATACAAAGGAGGACAAGACTAAAACTAAATATTCCAAGATGAATAAAAATTTTAATGTAGATATAAAGAAAAAAATTATTATTGCTGAAAGATAAAAACCTCACTAGAAGTAATGCCACTGCCTTTTTGTTCTTATTATTTTCCAATTAATATATGAATTTGTATTAGAAGTTTTACAAGATGAAATGAAAGAAAAATAATCGTAACCATATCATAGCCATAATTCAACAATGAAAATCATGCACTTTAGTCTGCAGGGAACTTGGCACACTCCAAACACGAACACTTCTTGTCTGCCTTTCAAAAATGTAATCATCTTATTCCTACAGGTTTGATTAAAGTGACAAAAGAAAAATAGCAGGATACTGTTGTGTCATGCCTTTCTTTCACACACACACACATATCACAACTGGAGTCATTCAACCTCTAGCTCATGTCACTATTATCTAATTCATCTTTTCAGTTGCCATTTAGACTGACTCAAGTTCGCACAGTGAAGGACAAAATAATGACTAGACTTTTAAATTAGTTTCAAAACTGATCCTACATTCAAACTGCTAATAACTTCTGATCTTTATTTATACTAATTTATTTACAGGAACTTGAAAATTTGCATTTGTGTTTCCTAATTTAACATTTGCCACAAAACCCTTTGAAAATGTTAACATTAGTCAGATGTAATACATGTTTTCCCCCAGGACCCCATTCTGTCATATTGTTTCCCTGGTGTGTCTACAGGCCCACATCACAACCTGAAATTCTCTCACACAATGCTCCCATTCTTTTGTACAAGGACTCCAACAGAAGCATCTTATCTGTGGATGTCCTAGTTGTTTTACTGCCTTTATTTATTCATATATGCTCTTGTTCTTTTCTCTCCCACAATTTGAAGTCTAAATTTTGTGGGTTTTTTAACCATAAGTTACGTTTCTACATAAGTAAATTGCATACCTATTTCCTTTTTATTTTGATTCACAATTTCTGGGGTACATTTTATTTTATATTTTGATAATTCTGCTCATGGAAAACAAAAGGGAATGCATCTATATAGAGTACGTCTTAGTTCTTAAAGAAAAAAATTTACCTCATTGGTATTCGTTCAATTTATAGGTCGGTGTAATTGAATTTACAGTTCTTTTAACAATCATTTACAAACCCCACAAGAATCGGAGACACAAAAATATGCAGTGCAATGTCTGCTTACTTTTAAAGTTATAGTGAACGCAAGAGGAAATTATACCCAGATGGCCTAGAACAAGTGATTAAAAAGACACCCTACCACCACCCAATAAAAAGAGGCATTTATTTCTTCACTGCAGATTTGTTTATTTTACAATTAACAAAAGGGTATTAGGCTTTTTGAGTAATTTTGCTTAAGGATTCAGGGGAAACAGTACCCCTTTGTTAATTGTAAAATAAACAAATCTGAAGCAGAAGATGGTGCCTAGGAAAAATCTTGTTTTCCAAAGCATAGATGAAAGCTTGCAACCTGTTCCTCTTGCTGAATTTGAGACCTGTACAATCAGCTCAGGGGCGACACATTTGGCCCAAGTCTGAGTTTTCTTATCTGTTTCCTTACCAATATCCCTTGAGCTGATAGTTCAGACATCTTTCCCATAGGGAAATATATCTAGCCTGTGCCTCATTCCCTAAGAATTGTTCTAGATATTTACTAATGAATCTCACAATTAATCAGTGTTAACTTTTTAATGAATAATTCTGAGTAATGTGCAACCTATCGAGATATGTTTGGTGTTAACAGTGTTTCTTAGAAATGAAATTCAATTTTCAAAAGTTTTCATACTAAGAAATCCTCAGCTTCTCTGAGACTCTTAAAATGTGTGCTTTTGTTTCAATCATAATAATAGAAAATTACTAATGGCTTATTAGGAATCCTCTTAAAACCAAATAATACATGATTTCAGTGTTTCTGTAACGGTGTAAATTTTCATTTTCCATTACGCTGCATCAAACCATTAAGCAAAGTTATAGAGTTCAGTTTTTAAGGTGGTTTTTTCACATTAGGCTCCACGGAATGCTGGAAGTCTGAAGATACTCTCTGGGGTCTGTGATTTCTCAAGTGTGAGAAACACAATCTTAACCTGAAGACTGCATTGAACAGAGAAAGGGGTGTGGACTTAAGCACTATTATAGGTAAATTTTTGTGTGCCTCTCAGATCCCACCAAGGAACTGCCTCTTCCTCCTCTATGTAAGACCAAGATGACAATTCACGAACAGAAGAGCAATGCTAGTATGCTATAAGAAGGTCAAGGGCTTTGGGCTCAAATAGACCTGGCTCAGGTTTGAGGTCTCGCTTCAGCATTTACTGGCTGGTTTCTCAACTTTCTAAATCTCAAGTAGGTTGGAAGATTGAGTGAAATATAAAATACATACGTACATACATACATACACACACAAACAAAATAATAAATGTAAAGTTTTATCAATATGCAACTCAATATCTGGCCCACCATAGCTGTTTAATAAGGGCTATGCCCCCTTTACTCTAAGATGAACTTAAAATTGTAATCTTCTGAAACTAAATTTTATGTTTTTAACTTGAATAATTCTGTGCTACCCTGGAAGAAAATTAAGAGTAAAATAATTCACGGAGAAATGTATTTTACTATGTCTCTTTTTCTCCCCAAACATATAACTGTCAAGGAGGAAAAGAAAATATGCATATTAGCTTTACCACTGCAGTAAACTAAAGACATTTTGAACTAATCTAATAGGAACAATTTAATGGATGCAGTTCTCAAACACTTGGGAAAGTTGAAATACAAAATGAAGGGAACACAAAGTCACATAATCTCATTTCAAGAGTCACTTTCAGTGTTAGCCCCACACAGCTGTTACACTGGGAATTATCCAATTGCACACAGATAGATCTCTTTCCATTCATTTGGATAATTCTGAATTCCTTTCAGAGGAAGCATAATGCCAGTGCAGAAGTATAAAGACTCAATAACGGTCATCCTAAGGAAGGATTCAACCAACCAGAACAGCTGCTCATCAGAAACACTGCAAAGCTTCCTTTATCGTCCATAGGTTTCTTCCTAACATAGTTGACATTTCAAAATACATTGGATATTTTTCACTCACAGACAGTATTAAAACATTTTATGAACTACACTTTTCAAAAAATGACAGACCTTGAAATAAAAAGAGATAAAACAGATTCTGGATGTTATTTGTGTGTGTGTGTGTGTGTGTGTGTGTGTGTGTGTGTGTGTGTATGTGTATGAGTAAAAATCTTATCAGTTTGTCATAATTGAGGCTGAAAGTTCAAGAGACAGAATTATTTTAAGAAAATGCACCAGCACCTAGCTTCACAATACCCAGTGATGTAAAGCTGCATTGAAACAGATGAATCACTTGAGTATAGATTTAAATGTAACCGAATTATTAGACCAGAATAGACTTGTTTGTAAGCCTATTTGGATTTATATCCTGACTTTGCTTCCTCTACATATGTAGCTGGCCTTGGATTGCTGAATCTCCTTGTAGCTTAGCCTCACAAGTAAATGGAGACAATAATAGTACTTTCCTGACATGGTTGTTTTTGGAAGATTAATAAAACCCACCTGTGAAAAATGCTTAGAACAGTACCTGGGTCACTACCAACACTGTGAAGGTTATAGTTGTCTTAAGACTAATAAGTATTATTGACTTTATCCTAGAAATGTGCAGAAATATGTATTCCTATATTGTTTTTGCAAATTAATTGCAATACAATTTAGTGGCCTTATAACCAGAATCAATTTGGGAGACTTTCAAAAGCAGTTTCTGTAAATCCCTCATCATTTCTGTAATTTACATACAGATTTGATCAATAGTGAATATTCACAATTCACTTTTGTTAATAAAATATTTAATTCAATATTCATCCTTGAAAGGAGCATTTCATTATTATAACTGCCGTGAGTGCAGGAGTCTGGCCTTTCTCATCTTTGAAACCCTGGTAGACAGCAGAGTGCTGGGTCCCTGTGGGCCACTCAGCCAGTATGTGCTGCGTGAATGAGAGGTATTTAGCAAATAGCAGATTTTCAGTAAATAATGAATGGGCTTGGGCTCTTTTGTACAAGCCATCTTTTCTACTTTACCCTAATAAACTATCAATTTTGCACAAGTATGCAAATTTAAAATTTTACAAGTCTTTTTTGCATTCAAAGTTCTAAACCTACTATCCTCCTTAATTAAGCATTTTGTGGGCATAAATAAGATGTGTTGTAAGAAAGGGACCTGTTAAAGCAAAACATAACCCTTTTGCAAAGAAAAAAATATTTTTTAAAAAGGTCAACATCACTTATTGGAAAGAGTACAGCCATGATTTGTAAATTAGAGATTCTGATTCAGTGGATATAGGATAAGGCCCAGGAATCTGCAGTCTTAGGCATCCTACGTGATTCCAAATACCAGGGTTTGGGAAACACTGAGGTAGCAATAATAAAATCTACCATGTATTAAGCCCATGCAGCGTTCCAGCTACTGTTTATATGCTATATATAAATTAACTAATTTAATCCTCCAAAACACACTTGTGCCGGATTTCAAACCCAGGCAGTCTGCCTCCACAACCTAGGTTCTTGCTGGTGCATACTATACGTTATTGGGGCTCAGATAATCAGAGACATAAACTAGTCTCTCTGAACTTCAATTTCTTCATTTGCAAATTCAAAATTTATTTATTTAGGGTGAAAAATAAATGAGGTACAATCCATCAATACCATATTGAAAGTGTTTTGCACGTATATATAAATATGCATATATTGATAATTGCTATTAGATTGATCAATTAGATCAATCTGAGAGACAATATATTTTATTTCTATTAAATGAGGAATAAGCAAGGCATTACAAAAAAGAACAGAATGAAAAATGGTAAATAAATAGAACACCAGTTAAGATTTATTTAGATGATTGCTATAAAGTACCAATGGGCATCAATTGTTTCTTGGAAAATCATCACGATCAAACATTTCTGAAGCATGAACCAGGCAGATGTTGATGTACCTTAAACTTTTAGTGTTTTCCAAACCATGGTCCTTCCCATGGGAACTGACATTATAAATCAAGTGATGTTTATATCTTTAAGGTTATATGAACATTAAAAGTTACTTGTATTATATTTGATATTGGATAGACGACATTTCTAAACTGATATTATCTGCTTTTTACTCTGGTACTAAAATCAGGTAACTAAAACAAAAGGAAATGGTGGCAAACTCTTGGTTTAATCTGTATAAATTGTCGATAATATCAATTGACTAAGAAAAAAGTATTCATGCCTAGAATGAAATATCTGCTATTAGGCTGGGGGTGGTGACTCACACCTGTAATCCCAGAACTTTGGGAGGTCAAGGAGGGTGGATCACTGAGGCCAGGAGTTCAAGACCAGCCTGGACAACACAGTGAAACCCCGTCTCTACCAAAAAATACAAAAATTAGCTGGGCATGGTGGCCACACCTGTAGTCCCAGCTACTTGGGAAGCTGAGGCAGGGGAATCGCTTGACCCCGGGAGGTGGAGGTGGCAGTGAGCCGAGATCGAGCCACTACATTCCAGCCTGGGCGACACAGTGAGACCCTTTCTCAAAAAAAAAAAAAAAAAAAAAGGAAAGAAAAAGGAAGTATCTGCTATTGACCAGCAATTTATGACAATGTTTTGTAAAATATCTATGCCCACATTATGACTCTTAAGATCACATTACCGAGTTGAATCTTCTATTCAAGAGGATTATCTCAAGTCATAATGAAAGTGCGGCAATAAATTGTTTCTTTTAGGTTTATTACAACAAATTTCAACTGGATCATTTGAACAATGTAGATGTTTACATCTCAGTGTACTATTGATTTGTGGAACATTTAGCTTTCTTATTCTTGAATTTCTCCTTGTGTGAGTTCTTTAGTTGAAAGATGACACACTAAACAGTATCCAAGACTGAAGTATAATCATTTATTCATTTAACCTAAAATTTTCATGTGTTGATGTTATATTATGTACTATGCTAGGTTCCGGGAATTAAAAGATAAATATTACATAGTACATAACCTAGTCTTTCCCTTCTAATTCAGTGGAGGGAAAAATCTTTCCCCCAGAAAGGTTTTTTATTAAACGTGTATGTGTGGTATTTTTGTTTTTTGGGTTTTTTGCTTCTTTGTAAGGTAAGCTTAAAAGCGATTTTGCTATTACTCTGCAGGAGAAGCTCCGTTAGAATCTTTAATTTACAAAACAGTGGTTTTAATTGAACCACTAGCAATTATACTGTGAATTAGACTGCAAACATGCTATTATAATGCATCTTGGACTTTCAGAAAACAGAATTGGACTCCCATAAGCAAAGAGAGAAATCTCCTTCAGTGAGGAGGTAAACAGAAAGCTATCAGAGCCAACACTCACCCCCATGGAGACAGGCATTGTTCTCTGACTCTCCCAGCTTCTCCTCAGAAAGAGCTGAAAAGCACTCTTTCTTAGTGTACATTTTAAACTTTACGGTGATTTCCATCCCTGCCATTCTGGTGAAAGGAACAGAGAGACTATAACCTGGTAGGCCAAGCCAAAGACAACTAATTGAGCACTGATCTCTGTTCCAGTTCAGAAGTGTTCCAAATTCATTTTTCTGTGTATAAAGAAGTCTAAAGGCATTTAACTCTATGACAAACTCATATTCAAATTAATTAATAAATTATTATATAAACCTTTATAATGTAAATTTGAGCAATAGTGATTATTTTTCCCCAATCAATTAAAGTACATAAGGCCCTACTGTTTAGGTAAAGGCTGTGTTAGACCCTCTGAAGCATACAGAAAACGTAAGATACTGTTATAAGTCAGAGAATTTAAAGAAATCCAAGACAGGGGAAACATTTTGTAATCAACACAAGACAGACTAAAAGCAGTCTAAAAGATGTAAAGAATTCCTTTTTTTTTTTTTTTTTTTTTGAGATGGAGTCTTGTTCTGTCGCCTAGGCTGGAGTGCAATGGAGCGATCTCAGCTCACTTCAACTTCTGTCTCCTGGGTTCAAGCAATTCTCCCACCTCAGCCTCCTGAGTAGCTGGGATTACAGGCCTGTACCACCAAGCCTGGCTAATTTTTGTATTTTTTAGTAGAAATGGTGTTTCACCATGTTGCCAGGCTGGTACAGAATTCTTGTACAGAATTCTTTACTTCGAGTTCAGAAACAAGAGAGCTGATGAAGATGGGGGGAATCACATAAGTACTATTGATATCACACAAGTTTAACATTTAAAAATTTTGCTTAACTACTGTTTGTTTCTACATAAAAAGATGAATCATTACAGTTCCTTTAGTTTTTGGGTTGTTTTATTATTTGTTTTATTAGCATTACTATTGAAAATATAGTATCTTTTGTATAATATGATCCTATTCAATGAATAGGAGTAGATTGACTGCCCATTACAAAGAAGAGCTTCTCCCCTCAGATGAAAGATAGAAAGGCATGTGGATTTAGTCAAGGTTTGATCAGTAAAGAAAGTACTATTGTTGACAACAAAATAATGTTCAATTAGAAAAATGAACTTTGAATGACCACATCTCCCAAAATGCTGTATTTGCAATATGCTGTATTACAAAAAGGCTTTCAAATGTTCTAAATCAACCCATAAAATGTTATGTGATTGTTGTAAAATTAAGATAACTAAGACATTTTATTATTAGAAAATCAAAAAAAACAAAAGATGTTGGCATGGATGTGGAGAAAAAGGTATGCTTATACACTGTTGGTGGAAATGTAAATTAGTACAATCTGTAGGAAAAACAGTATGGAGATTTCTCAAACAACTAAAAACTATCATTTCACCCAGCAATCCCACTACTAGGTATCTATCCAAGGGCAAATAAATCTTTATATTAATAAGACAGCTGCAACGTATGTTTATCATAGCACTATTCACAATAACAAGGTCACTGAATCAACCAAAGTGTCCATTAATGGTTGACTGTATTAAAAATATATATAGTACATATACAACATGGAATACTATGCAGCCAGAAAAAAAGAACAAAATCATTTCATTATAGCCACATGGATGGAGCTGGACACCATTATCCTAAGTAAAATAATTTAGAAACAGGAAACCTAACACTGCATGTTCTCACTTATAAGTGGGAGCTAAACAATGAGTACACATGAACATAAAGATGGAAACAACAGACACTGGGGACTCCAAAAGGGATGAGGTTGGGGATAGTGAGGGTTGAAAAGAAAAGAAAAGGCTTTCCACTGCTAGTCAATATCTCCGGGACTGGTTGGATGAAAACCCAAAAATGGATCCTGAAATAAGGAGATTCAACTCTCCCTTGAAAAATCTTATAGTTCTGATAAAATATATTTATATGAAGACTAGGCAGTGACATGAAAATCACATTCAAAAAGTTGAATAATTAATGGTGGAATCCTTAAGCCACAGGGAATTAGGACTTAGGACTAAATTGTCTACAACCAAAAGTACAAGTTAGACATTCCTAGTGACACACAGGTAGATAAAATAATTTAATGGAATCTACCCTCATTCTGAAAATAAAATCTGACCAAAAGATAAAAAAGCATGCTTTTTTGGAACAGAGAACATAAATTTTATAGCATCACAGATAGAACTGGTAAAAACCAAAAGGCAAAAAAGGCAGCAAAAACAACTTAAGATGTTAATTCTTTGATATGATGAACTATAGATCTACAAAAATAGTAGTCATATGCTTCCAAGCCATTGGAATTGCAATTATAAAAGACCACTGAGGGTAGAGTCTCATCAATGGTTACAGGTTTATATTAGATCTCAGACTGCTGAGAAAGCTTTCCAAGATGATTCAAGCCCCCATTGATTTTTATCTTCTCCGAACTCATCAAGAACATAAAAAGTCTAACACCAATTATAACATTTATGTATGCCAAGCAAAATGCATATTCAAATAAGTGTTCAAAGTGTTCAGAGACAGGTCATGTATGTCCTCCCGCCCCTCCTTTGTTCTTGGAGCATAATCAGCCTTGGTGCTGGATCTGAAGGGCCTTTAATTAAAGTGCCCTGTGACCATGAGCAGCTCTACCTCTTTAGGCATCAGTTTTTCAGCTGGAAAGTTATTAGAGTCAATCATACCCCTTTCTCACTGCAGTTCCAACAATCCAAATTCTTTTATCTTATTTCTGTTGACATTACTTAAAAGAAAAACACTAAAGATAATATTTTGATGTGAAGTGAAATTTAAGCTTACATAAGCACATTCTCTAAGTGGATGTCTTTAAATTCATTATTGCTCAGGGTGACTTTACTGATCAAAAGAAGCAGCACCAAAAAAATTGCTAAGTGAAGTCATTGTGGTACTCTTAACAGTCCTAAATGTCAATTTGAAGAATAGGCTGCTTCTTCTGAAGCACTCCTATTTAAAATGGAATGGACAGCAACACTGATGGATGATCAAGGCAGTCTGAATCACACAAGGGGACTTTATGCTTCTGCAAGTGAGAAGGAAAATGCAGAATTTTTTTTCTATCACTCTCACACAGCTATGAAATGCTGTTTGCTATTCAAAATGCAAAACTGCCAACCAAAATCTTAGAGAAGATAATCCATTCTTTCCTTCCACCTGCATTGGTAAGCACAACAAGCTGGGTGGGAACTTCTCCAAATTTTTTTATTCTGTCTCCCTTTGTACATTCTTTTACTACACAAACTGTGTTCTCTAGCTCACCTGTCAGAGAGACATCTGTTACCTTTATAGAAGCCAATGCACATTGCTGTGTGTCACGCTTTAGTAATTCACTGCCAATACTAGGACAAATCTTTTTACAAAGCTTTGTCTGAAAACTCTCTTTTGATCCATCAGTCACTAGGGGTACATGTGTTGCCCACCCCTCAACTTCAGACAACAGTGGCAGGTGATCTATGAGCTTAGTTGTCTTCTCCCATGCAGCTAAAATGACACACTACCTCCTAGCTCCCTTGCCGGTTTTTAAACTACCCTGGCAAGCACGGAGAATTAATAACAAAACATGAAGCATCCCAAATGTAACCTTAATGCCCTTGTGCACCCATTCTTCCATTACTTTTTCACCTTTCTGCCTCAAGCCAGGGAAATAAAAGGATTAGACATAATGCTATAAATTTAAAAATAATGGAAGTCTTAGCACAGGTTTGCAAGACATAGAATTATCATGGTACTACTGACACTTTAAATGTAATGATTTGATATATCAGAAAAGTTCTTTGAGATCCAGAAAAGATGAAGAGAAGAGCTAAGTCTGGAAAATGCGAGTTAAAATAATGGATCATTATATGTGGAAGCATATATCCTTCCATTTCCTTTTTATGTGGTTTGATTATTTGCTTTCTTTGCTGCCCTGAAGAACCTTGGCTGTCCATTGCAAAATGCTCTTCGTATTGACAGCATTCTACTCTATTTATCATCATGCAGAGCCTGTGTCAGCAGATCCAATGGCCTCTCTGAGTGTGGCCCTCCCACTGGGTAGATGATGAGCTCGGCTGATCCATCCCTGAAAGTGCTGAGGGAGCTTCCAGCACAGATGGCCTTCTTGCTGATCATGTCTGAGGGTTTTGTTTTGCTTTTTTCCCCCTAAATTGGCTCATTTAATACAAGATACATGAGAGGCAGTTTGGTCTAAGCCAACAGCAACAACGAAAAGTAGAATTATGAATTAGAGTGCTGCTTTAAAATCAAAAGACAATCACCAAAGTAAAGATATTGTCTGTCCACAGTGGTAAAGAGAAATAATTGTGATATGCATTTATATTCATATCAATACTAATATGTCCAAACGAAGTGTATTTTGTTGGTTGGTCTCAACAAAAAACAATGATTGTGCATTTAATGCATAATGTTCTTCTATAGAGTTGTAAATGTTTTTCTAATTAATTTTTTAAGTTGAAAAATATTACAGATGCATTATACATGTGGGGCTTCCATATTCATCGTTAATGAAGATTACTCCCATTTCAGTCCTCAATTCTTAGTGATTGTTTCTCTTACCAGTTTCTAAATGTGCCATGGAGTGCCAAGTTCTAGTCCTGTTCAGTCTTCTCAACTACATAGAACATGTATCTGCACAAAAACATGGACCTGGTAATATTAGCTACTCAGTGATTCTTTCAACTGTTCAAAAGGAATGACCTAGCTCAACTTATAGAGAATTTCTCATCATAAGATAGAGAAAAATAAGGCACCTGAGTGTCCAAAGCACTCAGCAATATGAATTTGAATGTCCATTTGAAGTTAACATTAGAAATTTAATACTAAAGTGAATTACACGTGGGCAATGTCATGAATGCTGTATAGCATTAAAGCTTAGTAAGAGGATTTATTCCAGGATGACAAATAGGAAATGTAGAAGGGCTGGGGACGTTCTCAGGGAATTTCATGTAAGACAGTTTATTCTCATGGATCTGATCTAGTGTTGACTCAAATGAAAATAGAAGCAGCAATATCACTTACCCTTAGGTAGCTGAATTCTTTTAAAATATGTTTTATAAATGCCACATGTCAAAGATATTAGAAAAAAATTTCAAGAATGCCAAAGCATAAAACTATACTTGTTTCTTCTCATAGGAAAAGCAGGAATAAAATAATACTGAACTTCATAATGACTATTAAGCTTGTAACATAAAAGTAAACACCAGTTTGTGTAATATGATGAAATTTACAGAAAGTACAAGAAATAAACGAACATCAAGAGCTAGAACTTAAATTATGTTAAAATAGTTTAAGAATATTCAGATATAAAAAGTCATTTGCAAAAGGGGTGGTCATAGTCAAATTTGAAATTTACTTTGCCTAAAAGCATTGTATAAGAGAGTTCCAGTGAGAGAGGTACTTTTGACAGTAACAGTGAACACAAAATCCTCACACCTTATAATTAAAATTTTTATATATTTGTATTATAAGAAGCACCATTTCTTCAAGAATAAATTAGGTACTTTTTCATGTGGAAAACAAACACAACTTTTAGTCATAACTTTGATACATGTTCCATATACCACCCAAAATTTTGCATGCCTTACCTTTATATTAGAGAAGTAAATTTTCAAAATTAGCAACACATACTTTTAACATACCTGAAGATATTTGCTTATTTCTTCCAATAAATATCAATAAAAGGAATGGCGGTTATACATATCATTATTTTTAAAACTATCAGTTTAATTTTAATTTCTAATTAAAATCCTTATCTAAGTTGTTCAGTTCAATGAAAATAATTTAACAAATTTAAGACACTGCCTTCAACTGGCTTATAGTTTAGAGCAGGAGACAGACCCTAAATGAGTATTTAATATTGCATCTGGGCACTTGGTCTGATCTATGCCAGTTTGCCAACCAGAGTTTGTCCAACATACAAGACAGGCTGCATATGATCCCTACTATATACTCAGAAATTGAATTATTGAGATGTTCAACAATACACTCAAAGGCATTTCAGATTCTCAAACTTTCCCTATATTCTCTTATTTAAGGAAAAGTGCACAGTGTAAACAAGTTCTTATGCCAGCAGGCTAATCTCATAATTTCATTTAAAATACTTTGAGTCAGTTCAAGAAACATTTATAGAGAACTACCAAATGCTGAGCACTATGCTGACTTCTGGAGATGTAAATAAGATGGAGCTACCACTCTCTGGGGGCCCTAGATTAGACAAGGCCGATGGAGTGAGGTCCAGAAAGTCTCTTGAGTGCATCCACAAGTCTGCACCATTTCCCTTGGGTTTCAAAACTGTGGACAGCGACAGGGATACTACACAGACCCTATTCTACCACTTCCCCAGGGGTAAATAGAGGCAAAGGGACAATACAGGTCAAGCACTAAGATTATCACATCTAGGGTTCCTGCTAGGTCTGTCTTCTGCTCCATCAGAGAAGAGACCCATAGAATCCCACAGCAGGGACTATTAAAAATGCATATAATGTCACTTTTTAAAGGGCTCTGAGAGCTCCACAATGCAGGACTCTATTACCTCTCTTAAAGTGGATCTTTAAACATTCTTAATAAGGCAATGGATGTTCACAGATTTGAAAGCCTCCCATGAAGCTGTTCCTCCCACAGGAATTTGGAAGCAGTGATTCAGCGGGTGCAACAAAGTCTCTGCTTTTCTGGAGAACTTTAGCTCTACCAGACACAGGGTCATGGAATGTCTGGTAGACATAGAGCTTAGGGGAAGGAAAGTGGGGATATCAATACACAGGCAGAGAATGTCACTCTTGCCAACTGTCCAAAAATAGAGATATGCCCAACATGCTATACACAGGCAGAGAATGTCACTCTTGCCAACTGTCCAAAAATAGAGATATGCCCAACATGCTATTTGAACACCAAAGGATGTTTGGAGGATTCCTAACCACAATGGTGAAGCAGTGTGGGGAAGAATGGAGAGAACTCTTCACAGAGTAAGAGATATTTTAATCTTGAAGAGTTAGTATTTAATCAGGAGCAGTAGGCACTCACAGAAGGAAGAATTGCATGAGCAAACACAAAGAGATGTGAGAATTATAATTCTGCATATCTAGGAGCCATAAATGTAGTCGGCAGTTATGATAATGTCTATTTTAAGGGTAATGACAATCACTCAATTTCTTAAATGGTCTCTTTGTCCACCAATTAATTCCAAATTCCAATGGCCGATTAAAAACTATCTTATTCGGTGTTTGTGGGCACTTATTGATCTTAGAAGAAGACAAAGCAAAAAGAGGAACATTCATGTTTATAAACAGTCTATGAAATGCTAGAGACTGCTTTCCTTTTCCAATGGAGTGAAAACCCTGTGATACAGGGTTTTTGGCTTGTTATTCACAGCTCTATCTCCAGCAAATAGAACAGGAACTGGTGTATATACACACATATATGTGTATGTGTGTGCCGGGGTGTGTGTGTGTGTGTGTGTCTGTGTGTGTGTATATGTATGTATATATATATATATATATATATATATATATATATATATACATATACACACACACACATATCTGTCTCTCTGAGATATATACATATCTATCTATATCTATCTATATATATCTCTCTCATAAGATATATACATATATATATATAGAGAGAGAGAGTTATGGTTGTGGTTATGGTTATATGGCTATGTAGTAATAAATAGGGATTCAATGATAAGACAGATCTGAGACCTGTCCTTACAGAGCTGACATTCTAATCCAGGGGTTTTAATCTTGGAGATGGAGAATTGTAAACTTCTAGATAGGAAAAAAAATTACATCTTAATTACATCTTTAGTTTTCTTAACCTGAAACTCAAATTTAGCATTTAAATTATGAATATAGGCCATAAACCACCGAGGTATTAGCAGTACCTGTGACTTTGTGAAACATTAAAAATCACAGATAATTACATACCACATTCAGTGTTGCACACATCTGAGAAGACCATTTTTACTCATAATGATTTTGAAACTGTTATTGACACACCATTAGGTTTTGTTATTTAATGCATTAATAAAGAATCAGGTATCTTATCATATCACAAATTTAGTTTTAATACTTTGAAATTGAATTTCAGTTACATGTGTATACATGTGCCATGCTGGTGCGCTGCATAACTGGTTACTTTTGTTGTCTGTGTAATTTATTTCATACATTTAAAAGCGTAGTTCTGAGAAAAGAACTACAGACTTCACCAGAATGTTTAATAGGTTAAGGATACCAGAAATTGTTAAGCACTCCAGTCTAGAAGGCAGGAAAGAAATTAATTAAACAAGAGATTATTAAATGACGTGACAAGTGAACTGATAGAGGAAGAATACGATGTTATCACCATACACGCACATAGTAGTTCAGAGTGGTCTTCTAAGGATTCATGGAGAAGTCATGCCTTGGCTCCCCCTGAAAAACTTGTAGGAGAGTATGAAACATTCAAGAAACTGAAGGAAGTTTATTACGAAAGGAACTAGAGTGTGAATGTGTGATGTGGACGTTTGGGTGCAGGAGATGAGGGGTAAGAGATCATCTTAGGCCAAGTGAGAAAAGACTTAAAATAGTTTGCACTTCATTCTAAGGGTAATGGAAAGCTAGTGATGGGTGTTAACAAACTGAGAGTAAAAGATCACTCTGGAGAGAACTGATTTGGAAAGGGGTAAGCACTAAGCCAGGGAAAGCAACACTTAATGGTTGTAATAATTTGAGAAGATCAGAGATCTTCATTCTTTTTAGAAAAATAGAAAAATGAAGAAAATCAACATGGTGCTAGAACATCGATGCTTATTATGCATTTATATTCAACTTTATTACTATATTATTGTTGTTATTGGCATAAACTTTATAGCTGTTGCCTAAAAATACAATACATTTATGCTTCTTTCAGTGGCTTAGATAATTCAAAGTAAAATAGAGGAAGTAAGGTAGGAGCTTCAGCAAATGACAAGTGGCATTTTGGCTGAGAGTTCATGCAGGAAAGATTGCCAGTCACAAATGCCTGCAGAGAGACCCATTTCTAATCATTATCCCAAGCTTTCAGTTTTGACGTAGTGACTTCTTGATAACCTGTATCATTTTAAAATATATTTATATCAGGTGCTTCCATTTCAATTTTATCTTCAGCCAAACCCTCTCTTTTCTGTACTGTTCATTCCCCAGGATGCAATTCAATATTTTCATTGATTCCATCCAACTTATCCATTATCCTAAAATCAAATGCAGTACATTTGGCAAGACTGTCCAAATGTTTTGCTCTCTCTACCATGTGTTTATTTATTTGGGTACTTTCTATTTGATCAAATCTTCAATCTGTCATTTTTCTTTTTCAAACCTTGAATCTGAAACATGATACAACTTTGATATTGATTATATAAGTTGGCAGCAGTTAGTGAGATTTGGAAACCATGTGAGCTGGCCTCTCAGAGCATCTAGTTTCCACTGTAACTAGCCTCATGGATATAAATTCTCATTTTAGTCATACATTTCCAAAATTTGATAAATACTGTGTCATTACTGTAATTACCCTCAATCAGTCCCCTTTTGTGTAGGATGATTGCCATCAGTGTTCTGGTTTCTCCATCTTCCTGTGAGGTGCAAAAGAAAACAAGTAGACCATAGGTAGTGAGTAGTTATCTGTAGTTTATTCATATGGGAAACTAAGAAAGTAACATTAAGAAAGAAAAGTTATCGTTTTGCTAGAAAATAAAGTGGCCCCTTAAGTAAATCCAGGAAAATCTATTTTTCCATAACATTTAAAAGATTAATACTTTCAGAGCTACTGACACTTTTCTAAACATCTCAGAGAAGGTTTTATCATTAGCCTTTCTTTTCTTTACAATGTAAACTTTAATGTTGTATTTTGGTAATGAGAAGAAAGAAGTCCAAAATAAATCCAGGGACTATACAGAAGGCACCATATTAGAAGCATTGATACATAAAAATACCGCTGGCCAGGCATGGTGGCTCATATCTGTAATCCCAGACTTTGGGTGGCCGAGGTGGGTGGATGGCTTGAGCTCATGGGCAACATGGTGAACCCCCGTCAATACAAAAAATAAAAAGTCCGGCATGGTGGTGCATGCTTATAGTCCCAGCTACTCCAGAGGCTGAGATGGGAGGATGGCTTAAGCCCAGGAAGTAAAGGCTGCAGTGAGCCGAGATCACGCCACTGCACTCTAGCCTGGATGACAGAGCAAGACCCTGTCTTGAAAATAAATAAATAAATAAAACAAATGAAAAGAAAGAAAAAAAGGAAATAGTATAGCATTTGTGTTTAGGTGAAAAACAAGGCGTAAGCAAAGCCCGCTAACAATACAAGGGTATGGAATTAAGGTTTATGAGTAATGTACTCCTTTTAGAAGAGAATTGTGGTGTATGTGTAACTTCTATAAAATCAAAGTATTTTGGTTCCACAAATATAAATAATCAGGAAGCCTGATTATATAGTTAGCATTCGGGCCTAAGGTTACACTCTAGCTTTCAAATTACCACGCCCTAAAATCTCAACTCTCATGTGTTTTTCTTGGAATACCACCTGCCATATTAAAACTTATTCCCCAATTTCACCTCTAATTCATTCTAGTCACTCAAGACTGCAGTGTCCTTCCCATCTGATTCTTTGTTCTCATAATCTGGCTAAATGTCACCTTAAATCAACTTAATCGTGCTACCTTTTCTGAAACTATAATGAGTTTCTTTGTGTCTTGTTCATTTCTCTTTTGTAGGACTTGTAATCAGTACCACACCATTGGCAAGTAATTGTATGCCAAGTTCTGTTGTTCACTCTTGGCTTTATGTGCTCTACAACAAGAGCATAAACTCCATAACTGCTTGCCTTTTAGGGCCTAGCACAGAGCTCAATGTATTTAATTACTTGATTGCTGATTCAAATTTAAACAATGGAAATTACATACATTTTTGGAATGAGCTGATGCCAAGTTTGAATTCTGCCTCATCTATGTATTCATTTATTGAGCAAATATTTATTGAGCACCTACTATGTGCCAGGAACTATCCTAGATTCAGCAATAATAACACTACTAAAATCAATAACAATATGCATATATATAAAACCACACATAGACATAAACACACACACATACACACACACACATGCACAAGACAACACTTCCTATAGCCATGAAGCTTACATTCAAGTAATAGAAGTGGACACTTAAAAAGATGAATTAGATAATATCATAACAAAGAAACATAAGTAAAGCAGGGAACAAGGATATGAAGTATAAGATAAAGGAAAAGTTGAATCACATGAGAAGGTATATTTAACAAAAGACCTGAAGAAGGTGAGGGAGTTATTCCTGAGGACTTCTGTGGAAGAGATTGTTGGGCAGGAGGAACACCAAATGCTGATACCCTGAGTGAGCAAGCAGCTTCTTTACAGTGTTTCAGGGAGAGTGACAAAGCCAAAGTGGGTGGAAAGAGGGAACAAAGATAAAAAGAGGAGAAAAGGATCTCAGGCAGGTAATGGATGCTACATTTCTTGGAACTTTGCAAGCTTTCATTCTGACTAAGAAAAGGAGTGACATAATCTGACATATTTTAGGATCTGTCTGTATACTAATTAAGAATGGGTGTGGACAGAGACACAGAGGCCGATTAGGAGACTGTGGCAATAATCTAGATGAGAAGATGGTTGAACTGGCACTAGGAGTGGTGAGAAGTGGTTGAACTCAGAATATGTTTTGAAGGTACAGACAACAGGATTCTGAATGTGACAGAAAGGAAGGAGCCAAAAACCGTGCTAAGCTTTTTGACTCTAGCAACCAGAAAACAGAATTGTCATTACTGAAATGAGAACAGAGGAAAGAATATTGGTGGGAAGTCAGGTAGTGCTCAGGTTTTAACATATTAATTTTGAAGTGCTTATCATTAAACCTCCTACTGAACATATGAAGTAGGCAGTTAGATATGTTGGTATGGAATTCAGAGGAAAGTTATTAGTATTAAGATGGTATTTAACTCATCCCCAGAGAGTGTTAGTTCATAGATAATGAGAGAACAACAAGAGAAATCCAAGTTCTAAACTCTGCCCTATGGCACTCTGATCCTTAGAGATGGTTGAGATGAAAAGGAACCAACAAAGAAACCGAGAACAAGAGTAGCTAGAGTAGCTAGCAAGGTAGAAGGAGAACTAGGTGAGTATGTTTAGATGCCAAGTATCAAATGGTTTTAAGGGAAGAGTGATCAGTGTGGTCAAATGCTAAGGAATGGCCACTGGATTTAACAGCATGGTGATCACTGGTGACCTTCTCAAGAGCAGTTTCATTGAATAGAGTAAAAACCTAATCTGAAGGTGTGCAAGAAAGAGCAAAAAGAAAGAAACTGAGGATGGCAGGAATAGAGGACTCTTTCAAGTAGTTTCGATGTCAAGAGGATGGGAATGAGTCAGTTGCTGGAGGGAAAATGGGATTAAGATGGGAGAAATTACAACGGGTATAGGGTGATGCAATAATCAACAAAGAAGATGATGATGCTGGAGACAGAGGAGAGACTATCTGGAAATGTTCTTTAGTAGATAATAGCAGATGGAACCCAGGGTAGACATAAAGGATTTGGCCTTAGGATTCACTCATAGTAACTGAATATTATTATATTACTATTTTATTACTATTTAGTTACTGTGTGGAATATTTGCATGAACAGATATAGTGGTAGGAATTTTTAGAAGTTCTCCTATGAAGGCTTCAATTTTTAGATGAAGCATGATTCAAGGTCATCTGCTGAAATCAAAGATGTAGAAAAGTTGAGGAAAGAGAAGAAAGGATTAAAAATCATCTAGCAAATTAAGAAAGGGAATGGACTAGGAACATAGAGTACAGTTACCAGGGATCATTTAGTATTTAAAGGCAGAATAGTTTGTTTCACTTTCTCTAGTAACATTCAGCTGTTAAGACGTAGGCTCAGAGTAACAAAGAACTGAATTTAAGCTGGATTGGAATTTTGCCAAATGAATGTGATACATTGGAGAGGGCAAAGGAGTTGAGGGTTTATGCGTGCATGATTATGATTACCCATAAATTTTAAGCTGGCTTAGAAAGCAAGAAAACACATAAAGACAATGAAAGATAGAACAAAAAAAGTAGGTCCAATAGATTAATGGTTCTAGTGGGATCAAAGGATTCTTAGAGTATAGCTCTAGAGGCAATTGGTCAGAGGGTAAGTGATTGAAATGGAGATTATGGAGAACTGCAGTTTTTGCCAATGTCAAAGGTATAAACATGAGAGTGAGTGACTACAGTGTGAAAGGGTGAAATCAAGAGAAATGACAAAGAGGAAGTTACACATAGCTTATGTAAATATTGAGACTACCATTTACTAACTAACTTTTAGCAAGTTATATTTTCTAAGCCTCAGCTTCTTTATAATTAGAATGAGGACAGTAATTGCCTCATTAGCTTAAAGTGTGGCTGTGAAGACTCCTAATGATAATGTGTCAAGGTACCTATGCCTTGGAACACTCAGTCTAGACTTTTCAAATTATGTCAAATTTAAATTAGGGGACAAGGATTGTTTCTCAAAACAAAAATACATAAAATTAATATAGACTAAATATTAAGAATTGTTTCAGCATATTTAAATTCAGACATGACTAATCAATTAAAATAATTGATGCATTCTGAATGAATAAGAAGTCAAATATTTATTCCTAAATCATCTTCTTCATTTATTTCCATAGTAAGCAAACTGTCCAATCTCGTTTTAGTTTTGCAGCATGCAAGACTCATCTAAGCCACTAATTTACTTCTGCTACATTAAAAATTTTAATTTTAAAAATAACTTTAAGATTCATTCTAAGATATAAATAAATAAATTAACAAGGTTTTCTTCCATGAATGAGCTTCTTAATATTAGCCTAGAATCATAAAACACATTTAAAATATAGGATAGGTGCTTTTTAGGAGATAGATATTATACAGGAAGTCAACTCAGAACCTAAATCAATTAACATAAAGTATAAATTAACTAAATACAGCATGGTATTAACAGTAACATAAATCTAACTTTCCTAGTAATTTATCACAATAGAAACATTAAATCCTAATAAAATTGAGCTATTTTGTTCAGGAAAACCCAGAATAACAACCTTAGAGAATGAAATTAGGAATAAACTAAGGATTTGGAAAACACAAAATCTTATTTCTTAAAACTCAGAGAGAAAAAAGGAAGAAACTGTATTTAAATGTATCTACCTGTTGAAATATTTAAATATTTAATATTTAAAATGATGAATCAATTTAAGTATGTGTGAAAAATACAGAAAAATTAGATTGTGATATTGAATGTTAAGCCTCAATAAACTTCAGGACAACAAATATTGAAAAACATGCAGGAAATTAGGATTATAAGAATGTAGGTTTTATTTTAATAAAGATTAGAAGTAGAGAGAAAAATGAACATTTTAACAGAAAAAATAGAAAGTAATATGTTTATCTGAAATAATTACTTTCTGAATAAAAAAGTGCCAAATAAACTTTGAAGAAATTCAGAAATATCTCTAACTTCAGAGCATAAGTGAGTTCCATTAAAGTTAGAGACATAATTTTTTATTTCAACTATGTTATTTTTAATGAGAAAAATCTTCCAATTGAAAACTTTGAGTTAAAAATAATAGCCACTACCATTTACTACCATTTACTGTCTACAATGTACAAGTACTATGCTCATTGTTGGTGAGGTCAAACTAGGGAAAAAAACTGTAGAGAAGCTGAATTTGACTAAAAATAAGACAGGATTTTCTAACAATAAGTGTTATAATGAAAATGGAATTGAGTTCCTTGGTAGATATTGTGCTTCTGATCACTGAAGGTATTCAAGCAAAGATTTCATGATATCTAACTAAAATACTTTGTAATACCAAGAAGAGTATGACACCTAGAGATGAGTCACAAAGGAAAAGACATGAAGGATAGCAGTATCACAAAGCAAGGTTGAAGAAAAGGCCAGCATCTGGGATGCCAATTTGAGCAGGACATGGCAGTAATTACTGGAGATCCAAGTAAGGGGATGAGTTAACAAAGGGCTAAATTGGCAGGCAGCCTGACTGGGTCCAGATGGGCAGATGCGGCCACATCAAAGAGACTCATCAGTTTAGTCAGTGACCCAAAGCAAACTTATAAGCCCAGGGCATCTGAGTTCTAGAGGCTGGTGGTGAGAGAAGAGAGCAGAAGAACAGAAATTAGCCCAAAAGAGGCTGGAATTCAAGAACAAGATTTCATCTGCTGGTAGAACACCAAAAGCAGAGCCCGCCTGACAGTGCTGGACCAGGAGATGTTGAAACAGAGCTTCCTCTATGCATTCCTATTTAAGAACTGAATCAACCTCTCAGATTTAAAACCATCAGAAATAACTAAGTACTCACAATATGAAGATGAGTAGTTATACCTTGATAACAAATAAAATCCAAACACTTGATTAACCTCTTCAATGACCTAGCTGTCAAGATGTAGAAAGTATTAGTTAATTGAACTTTGGGCACAAAATGAAGAAAAGATTTTGAAATGCAACCAAGCTTAATATCAAAAAAGTAATTTATAACTATTAAACTTCTCAGTCTATTTTCTCACTTACTCAGCAATTTAGTGAATCTATTGAAAAGTTTTCTGGATATTGCTTACTATTCAGTTCAAAATTTTTACAAATAAAAATATTGAGTATTTCTTTAATGTTTGGCAAGATTTTTTTACAGGAATATAGAATACATCTCTTCCTAGGCTATATCCTACAAGGTAGTTAATTACAAAGATTATGTCATTGAAAAAAACAACATTTATTTTTTATTTGTTTATTTCAAAACATATTGTTATACTTTTAAAATTTACATTAGGTTTATTTCACTTACATTAAGAATATAAATATTATAGATATTATGTAATATTTTATACACATATGCACACATATATACTAAAATCTTACAATAGTGCTATTCAATATAGAATTTAATTAGGTATATCTTAAATTTATCTTTGACTTAAATCACAGTAACTAACATTTGAAATTTTTAGGCAAGACCTTTCAACTCAAAAGAAATGTGATCTACCAGGTCACAGGAAATATAGATATGTCTACTTGTCTTTTATTACATTAATATCTCCGTGTTAAAATGTGTATTGAGCCAAGCACACTGCTTGTATAAAAATCACTTATTTTTATACATCTAATGGGACTGTTTAATGGGACCTTTTCATTTACCATTTCTTAGACTGTTCTTATATATAGTATCTCTGTTAATAGTTACCAAATTCTTGCAGGAGGCAAGGGAGATATTAGTTCCATGTTAGAGAGAAGAAGACTGCAGCTCTGAGAATTTAGGTTATTTGCCACTATGAAATTTAGATATTCTCTTGGCTAATGATATATTGATGTTCACCTGTATAAATAAATATATCTTCAATGTGCATATATACATATAAAATTTTATATAGATGAGAGTCTCACAGGTTACATTAATGTGCTTCATAAGGTGGAACAAAAGTTATTAATTATACATATTAATGTGAAAATTACATTACACTAAAAAGTTAACTCTTTTAACTGTATTAAGGCATAACTGAAGTAATTAAATCAATAGGCTCTTCTGAGAAATATTTTAGATCAATGTTCATGAACAGATCAATAAATTGATGTGCTATTTCTATCATAATTCCATTTTTAATTAGTTAAGCAACACACATTGTATATCTTCCAGATAAAGAACACTTCATGAGCTCCTAATGATCCTTGCTTAGAACCTCAAAAATGTAGGAAAGGTGGCCGAGTTCTCAAAGTAAGCTTCTGATATAGTTGGTAAATTGAATAGATAGGTGATTCTGATTGGTGCTATACCAAAAAAAAAAAAAAAAAAGAGAGAGAGAGAGAGAGAAGAGCCATGATTACTAGTATCTTGGAGGTTACAGTTGAGACTAGCTCTCACTTTTACATTTGACCTTTCTTAGATTTGAAAAAAAACAAAAGGTAAATTTGAAGAGGAGAAGAATGAGGAATTTGGGCATAGAAAATTAACAGACCTGTTCATTTGCTATATATGATTGGAATTTTATTGTAGGATGCATTATTACCTACTTATGCTTGATGCTGCATTTATTTAACATGCAGATTGGTAATCTAGTGGCTCTCATTTATATTACAAACAGAAAATGTTAACATCCTAATTGATAGATTTACATGATATGACATTTCATCATAGTTTTTCTTAGCCTTTGAGGCATATAAACCTGATTATTAAAGACATGTTATGATGTAAAGCTGTCTTTTTGTTTTCCGTAATAAATAAGTGTAACTTCATGAACATCAAATGTTCTTGCTTCCAATTTATTAAAACACACAAACACACATGCACACACACACACACACACACACGCACTAGACCACTGGACCATCCTCAGGAAATGACACATATGACACATCTCCATGTTAAAGGAAAAAAGCAGAATCCCCCACTTAACAAGTTTATAAAACTATGCATTGTATTGAAAAAGAGATAAAATGAATTCTAGTTAAGTTGTATACTCCTGCACAGAAAAATGACAGTAGACATAAGGCAGCCTTGATAAAGACTGTTAAAGTTTCAAGAAGGTAAATAAGTCACAGCTAACAATAGTTGGTTGGAATGAAGGGAAAAATTATTATAAAAATAAATTTATTTTATATGGATGATTGCACAATTTTAAAATTCTGAGAGCATGGTGGTAGCTGTTGGTAAACTAATGCCTTCATTTTTTAACCACATTCCTTCTCTTTTTGGAATGGTAGAAAAGCATGTTTTACTTGAAAACTATTTCTGTATGAAAGCCACTGGCAAGTTGTATTAGATGTAAAGATCATTGCAGTGGGATTTTCAATTAAATGACTGGAACACAGCAGTTTGCCTTTTTTCCAAAGAGAACATAAAAATGACTGCCAAGAATAAAAGAAATAACTGTTGATACCTATGAATATATAATATAAAAATAGGCTTTGGAGAATCTCTGTATCCTCATAAACTAAAGCAACTAATCTCAGGGACTATGCCCTCTTAGACACATAATTTTATAATTTGAAACAATTTTATAATGGACTGAGAATGTATGCAAAATTATATGCATAATATTTTAAATTAACACTTTGTTACATTGGTTATTTTAAGCTGGCCTTTCCTTATTCCATTTCTGTAATACCGACTTTTACTATGATATTTATTTGGGAATGAGTAGGCTAAAAAGAAATCAGAGTACTGTTCTACAGACACTCAGTATTAGCTAATTAATGTGACTCATCAGTGAAAAGATTGATTCGGCAATAGAATATAGATAGAAAAGGCGAAGCGATCATCCATAATCTAGTAAGGCAACTCACTCACCCATAACTGCTGGTTAAGAGGGAAAACATGAACAATTAAGTCTCTAAAATAGCTTTCCAATCAGTCAAAACTTCCAAAATGCCCAAGTAGTGTAAAGACCAAGTGGAGAGCAAGAAATCAGGAAAAAAAAAAAAAAAAAACAAGCCACAAAAAGAAAAACCCATATCAGAAGCCAAATTTTGGAATAACTAAGGCAAAAGGCATTAGCCAAAGTCAAACATCACCATAAACTAAATGACTGAATTAGCATAAAAGCCAAAAACAAAAAATTCAAGAATGCAAAAAGGTTAGTATAGTGATCAGCTGCACTTCCCTCTGGCTCTGGACTTTCTTGACCCTAATAATTGCTAATAGCTTAGGAGGTTATCCCATCCATAGACATTTCCATTTTAGTAAGGATTTATGAAATTTTAAAAGCCTTCTCGACACAAAGTGTGTATTCTACTATTAAATGACAAAATGTCAGATTCTGTGAAGTTATTTTGTGGCAGACAGCCTTCCTTAGTAACCCATAAATGTGGCCTAACTGGAAACGAAGGGCTTGACTCAAGATCCCATTTAATCAATAAATTTAGAAGAAAATATAATTAGATTAGAGAGGCCTTAAAACAACAAAGAACCAAAGCAATCTGTAATTGCAGAAGAGAAATTCAAAGCTAGCCTGATTTTATAATCCAATAAAAGTAATTTGTATTTTTTTCTTGTTCTCTTTAGACCAGTAAGTGTAAGCTTTTGTTTGTTTTAGTTAAAACATTTAAACTTCCCATTAAATAAGATGAACTGAATTCTTTGTTTGTTTGTTTACCACCATTTTCTCCAATATCCTACAAAATGACAATAAAAAAGAAATATAAGTGGTTGAGATATGTTCATATCCCCACATAATGGGAATAGGAGAACAAAATTGGGGGGCCAGTCAAGCAGAGAGATTTCAGGTATTTAATTTAGCAGAACAGAGGAAGCTGATGGCTAGATCAGAACAGAGAGATAGAACAAAGGAGAACAAACAATTCAAATCACAGAACCCATCAGAAAAGTTGAAGAATGGAGGTACCAGTTTCCTTGAAAAGAAGACCTCTGGGGCTGGAAACAGGTATATTGATTGAAAATGTATTTAAAAACTCAAACTCCCCATTTCTTTCCTAAGTCAGGTAAATGGCATTTGCCCACCTCTCATCCTGTACAAATCTGAGTGTTTACTTTTTGAGGAGAACAAAGCAAAGATATTCCAGACTTGCAGACACAAAACAGTTTAGAGAAGATGTGCCATGAAGAAAACAGGCTGTGAAATGAAATTTTGTATATTGAATGGTACCCAGGTCTTCTAGTGAGCTTTTTAGTGCCTTATTTGTAAATATTAGTGCACAGCCACTGAGAAATTCAAGAAAAGTGCCCCAAAAAAGTCCGAACACTTTAACGAGATAAGAGATGGTGCTACATATGCATGAAACAAGAACAGGAGACCATAAAAGGGAATATTCAAAAAACAACAAAAAAGATAGCTCTTGAAAATTAAAAAAAGATAACAAAAATAAATATAAAAAGGAATTGAAGTGTAACATTGACAAAATATTTTAGAAAACTAAAGACAAAGGAAATATAGAAGTGAAAAACTTAAGAGATATTGAGAATCAGTCCATGACACCAAATAGTCAAGCAATAGTAATTCCTAAAAGAGAAGACAGAAAACTAAAAATTTCATAGACTCTAAGGATAAGAATTTTCAAATTGAACAGAGCCATGGATGGCTCAAAACAACAAATGAGGGAAAAATCCTTATTTATGTCATTATGTAATTTAAGAACACTGGGAATAAAGAGTAGCCCCTAACTGCTTTCAGAGAGGGTAGTAAAATGATCTAATACAAACAATGGGAATACGATAACATTGTGTATTTAACTATCTCAAAATTATAACAATTTTATTAGAAGCATAAGAATGAAAGAGGGTAAACAGATATGAATTGTATGGAATCTAGATAGCTCAGTCCTCATCTTTTATGATGAGATATCAATAGATAATGTTAAACATTGAAAAAGAGTCAAGATATAGCAGTACAAGTATATTTTGAACTTACACATTTAGAAATTTATAAAGAAGTCAAAACCATCAGAAACTTCTAAGAGTTTCAAGTGCTTACCTCTGAGGAATAAAAATTGAGGTTACAGAGGAAAAATCTTTTTCTTTCTATGCCTTGCAGAACTAGCTGTCTTGATAAACTGGTATCAAACTTGATAACTTTGATTAATTTTCATTAGCAGTGTGTTTTGATGTCAATTTCTGCTTTGGTTTTTATGAAGATCAAAGAGACCTATACATATCCAATTATTTTTTTCAGCTCTGAGAAGTTGTTTGCTTGTGTTTTTTTTCTCCTTCTCTATCACAAATTCTTGGGTTTATCTCTGTCCATTATTATTCAGACTCTAGTTACTCATATAATAACTCTCCATATTTTATCTTCTACTCTAATCATTTCTGCTCACATTGTCTGCCCTTTGCTTACTTCCTTCATGTTCTGAATACTTCTCATAGTTACCTTCTGTTTAGCTTCAAATAATCTGTACAGCCTGTTACCTTTTACTGTTTTCAATGTTAATTTTATTTGATCTACTTCAATTTTCATATCTCAATACTCTCTTTTGATTCTCTTATTCTATTTAATAGAAAATAGCTATTTCTAAAATTTATTTCTTTGTAATATATTAAATCTGATTAAAGAGATAGATCCTACTCTGCATTTCATAGTGTTGTTCGTGTGTGTGTGTTAAAAATCTTTTCCATTGATCTAATATTATTGTTCTCTATTTATTCATCCATGAGATGGATTTGTTGATCTTTGTTTTGGGGCTCAATTAATTTTGAAGGGCTACTTTAAAACACACCCCTAGAGTCCTGGTTGAAATAAATTAAAATGCTACTCATATCTAGAACCAGAGAGAGAAAAGAAAGATAAACAATAATATGGGTGACTTTTAATGTGGCCCAGGTACTTGAAGTCCTTTCTCCCTGGATCCAAGGTTGGAAGGCAAAGAGAGAAGAGAGAGAAAAGGCAAGTATAGATCAATTTGCACTGGGAAGTTATGGTACTAAGACTTTTCAGAATTTGTAATAATCTTCATTCTTTTTTATTATTGTGGCTTGATCTAAAATATTTTAATGGTGATAAAGAAGTTGAGGAATGTCAAGGTCTTTGAGCATACCTGTAATTCAATCCTCTTTCCCAAAAGTTGTAAAATCAGATATACAGACAGATCAGATCCACAGACAAACAAATTCTTTAAAAACTGATAGAGATTTTGATCAAAAATATATTTAAGTCCATCTTCTCCCTAAATATAAATAAGTACATGGCTAACCTGTCTCACAAGTAGTAAAGTGCAGATTCAATCTATAAATCCCCTGAAATTTAAAATAACTGCTTTTCTAAAAGTCTGCTAACTAATAAAAATAAAACATTAATAACAAAGCAGGAACAGAAAGATCTACAGCTAAATTCCTAACATGACGGCAAGTGTAGAATTTAATGAATTCCAAGGAAAAACAAATAGCTTCACACATATTTAAATTTTTTTATTCAGGTAACCAAATAAAAATGCAGTTAGGTCAGTTAGTCATCATTTCTAAGTTTTTATTTATTTTTGAATATAGTATGAATTTTATTTGATAATTATTTGTTAATAGTGGTTCATTAATTGTGACAAATATACCTCACTGAGGTAAGATGTTAAAATAGGGAAAACTGGGTGCAGGGTATTTAGGAACTCTCTGTACTGTCTTTGCAATTTTATGTAAATCTAAAATTTTAAAATAAAAAAATTTAAAGTTAACCTATATTTTATTCTAACTCACTTTCTAATCTGTTTTTATTTTCATAGCTACATAATAGTTTTACATATTTATGGGGTACATGTGATACTTTGATACAAGCATACAAAGTGTAATGATCAAATCTAGGTAACTGGGATATCCATCACCTCAAACACTTATCATTTATTTGTGTTGGCAATATTCCAGATTTACCCTTCTAGTTATTTTAAAATATGTAATAAATTACTGTTAACTAGAATCTCCCTATTGTGCTACTAATATGGTTTGGCTCTGTGTCCCCACTCAAATCTCATCTCGAATTGTAATTCTCACATGTCAAAGGAGGGACTTGTAATCCCCACGTGTTGAGGGAGGGAGATGATTGGATCATGGAGGCAGTTTCCCCTATGCTGTCGCGTGATAGTGAGTGAGTTCTCACAATATCTGATGGTTTTATAAGGGCTCTTCCCCTTTACTTCACTCTCCTCTCTCTTGGTGAAGAAGGCCTTGCTTCCCCTTTGCCTTCTGTCATGATTTTACGTGTCCTGAGGCCTCCCAAACCATGCAGAACTGTGAGTCAATTAAACCTCTTTCCTTTATAAATTACCCAGTCTCAGGTAATATCTTTATAGCAGTGTGAGAATGGACTAGTACAGCTACCAAACGCTAGATCTTATTTCTTCTATCTTTACTGTATTTTTGTACCCATTACCCATCCCCTCTTTATCCTCCCCTCCTCACTACTCTTCCAAGCCTTTGGGAGCCACCATTCTTTTCACTACCTCCACAAGATCATTTTTTTTAAACTCCCATATATAAATTTTTAAAGCAGTTGCACAGATTTAAGGATAAGGTTGTTATCTGATTGATAACAATTCATTGGTTTCTACTTTTTCTCAGTGTGTTCCACTGATCCATCACTGTTGACCTATAAGGATTGGGAAGCCTTTCATTTTGTTTTGCTTCACAGCTTTCATCTGTCCAGCATGGAGTTCTACTTAAGGTCTCCATGTTAGAACAGCTTGTCTCCTTTGAACCCAAACAAATAACATCCATGTATTAATTTTCTACCTGCAATAATAGCATGACAGCCTTGTTGTGGGTGACAGTTGCAATCACTTAACTTAGTTTTAGCTCTGGGAGATAGCTTGCCAGTTGTTCCCCTCTTTCTTTTTTCTCAAAAGAGGTGAAAGAGAGGGAGAAGTAGTTCTTGACCCAAGAGACAGGTTTAGTTGCTCTCACTAACCATCTGGCCACTATTGGAGAGGACCTAATAGACTCCAGGCAATGACATTTGCCATGCAAGTCAGTTTAATGAACCTGCCACAGAAAGCCCATCTTTAAAAAGCCACCCTATTAGGTCCTGGAGGCATCAGTCCTCAAGAAGGCTAAAAAGGGTGCACATCTCTGTCAGTAACAAAACATAACCAAGCCTCTTCTTGATGATGGGTTAGGGGGAAAAGAAAAGGAAATTCCATGAGGAGCTTTCTCAAAATATACCTGACCCCGACCTTCCTCCTGAGATACAGCTGAACTACTAAAAAGAAGTTATATATAAATTGTAAAGCCTGCCTGAATATTCAGATAATCCCCCCACCCCACCCTAGCACCTTTCAGAGTTTCACCTGACTCCTCAAGTTAGTAGTAAGCAGACTTTTGGCATAAGCCACAAAAAGGGTAAGTTGTAGGTCGCCTTCTCCAAAATTATTTTTATGAGAAAATGTAATATCTGCAACTGTGTTAAGCATTTTTTTTAAAAAAAACTATTATTGATTACTGCTTATTTTTTTATGGCTACGATTTCTGAAGCTGTCTAGCATGTATGCAATCCTTATTGTAGTGCTACAATTTTTAGCAAATTTATATGCAAGATGAGTGGAGGGAGAGGGTTGAACTATTTGGGAGCGATGAGTTGCATTTTTACCACAGCACAATTCCCCTTCCCTCAGTTATAAAATTAACCATGCAGGCATTCTTTATGTAGTTAGAGGAGAGAGAAAGCCCATGATCAGCTGTTAAGAGGGCTGCAGGGAACACAGCAGCACAACTGAGATTCGAGGGTAAGGAAAATGTATTAAAAACACATTGTGACTTTCAGATGTCCTTCACCAGTCTTAGACTATAGAAGAGATATAAATGAAAACTCTTACTGCAACTTATCTGGAAGGCAGAGGCAGACAGAGAGACCTCTAATCCATCTCTTTAGTTCCTTTTTCTCTCACCCCATCTCCCACATTCTTTTGGCGTGGCAAGTCCCAAATGTCACATCCCCAGAGGCAGCCTCTGGTAGTAGCAGCTTCGAGGTCCCATCCTGTCAGTGAACGAAGGGGTGACTGGAATTGCTCAGTCTGGGGAGGATTTTCTTAATGCTCATCCACGAATAAGAAAATGGCATTGTCTACATGTTTTAATGTTTTGAAAAAAATGAGACTGGGGTTGAGCTGCCCGACAAAATGCAAGACACCCAGTTAAATTTAAATTTCAGATAAACAATGCAGCAAATTTTTTGGAAAAGTGTGTTACAAATGTTGCATGGGACATATTAAAAAATATTTGATATGTATCTGAAATTCAAATTCACCTGAGCATCCTGCATTTTTACCTGCTATACCTGGCAACCTTCAACTCAGACCACATTAAAAAACTAGGCCATGACGAAGCAGGTAACTGACATTCAGGGTTTGTACTCACTTTCCAACTGTTAAGTGCTTTCTCTGGGCTCGAATTCACAAAGACCAGCACCCTTGTGGTACCCATTTGATCTGTTCCTACCCCTGAGTTTCACCTCCTCCCCTCTCCCCCATGCTTTTTAGGAAAGGAATCTGCAGACCGTGATTTTAGAGTAAGATGCTCCATTACTGCACTCAGGGCGGGTGCCTGGAAGGCTGGGAGAGTGCGAGCAGGAGAAAAGAAAACAGACAAAGCAAATTTTCAATACCTCGCATCTTGCCAAGGATGAGCTCTGTTTAGTTAGAACATATTCATTTTTTTCACAAAGACCTTTGAGTTCCTTCAGGGAGCCAGCATTCCTTTGTTTTCTCTGCATGATTGTCCACTTGCTGGTGGAATCCCTTCTCAATTTCTACCTGTGTGTCTCCACCCTTCACCATGTAACATATAAGGGTTCCTTTGGCTTTATTTGATATGAATTTATGGGTAAACCAGGTTTGGTGAATTTGTTGTGAATAGTTGGCAATGAAAAATATTATTCCACTACCTGGGACCATCTTCTAGTGTGATATCATAGTGGTCCATGTGAGGGCTTGAAAATCAGCCACACCTTGATTTGAGTCCCTTTTCTGTTACCTACTACCATCTTTGTCTTTTTAGGAAATTAACATAACTTTTATGAACCAAATTTTTTATCTTTGAAATAGTAATAGTAGTGACTTAATTGGGTCTTGGAGTGCATTAAAAAAGAATATGAATATCAAGTGACAAGCAGGATGGGAACACAATGTCCCTCTTTCCCCTCCACTTCCCCATAGGGCTGTATCACAAATAGTTAATATTGTTAACCCAAATTAGAACTCTGGGCTTCTGAATCATACCCTACTCGCTAAATCATTCTGCTCATAAATAGAGATATTTTTATAGATTTTGGAAGGGAAGATTATGAAAAAGGGCTTTGATTCTTACTTAAAAGAAAGAAATTGGCCTAGCATGGTGGCTCACGCCTGTTAATCCCAGCACTTTGGCAGGCCAAGGCGGGCGGATCACGAGGTCAGGAGATCGAGACCATCCCGGCTAACATGGTGAAACCCCGTCTCTACTAAAAATACAAAAAATTAGCTGGGCATAATGGTGGGCACCTGTAGTCCTCGGGAGGCTGAGGCAGGAAAATGGCGTGAACCTGGGAGGCGGAGCTTGCAGTGAGCCAAGATCGTGCCACTGCACTCCAGCCTGGGCAACAGAGTGAGACTCCATCTCAAAAAAAAAAAAAAAAAAAAAAGAAGAAAGAAAAAATTTAGGAATGACCAGCTGGTCTCCTCATCTAGGCTGGGAAATAAATACCACAGTTATCCTGAGGAGTGAGACATGCCATTTTTTATAAGGGTAGAGGGAAATGGGGGAAGGAAGAGGAATCATAAAACTACCTCTCATCTGTTCCTATTCAGACAATGGAATAACTGAAGATTCTTAATAAAGAAGATTTCATCCATTAATTTGTTTCATATTTAGCAATGCTATGTAGAGTTTGAAATATTTTCAGGAATTGAAAAGTGGTAATAAAATTGATGTAAAGTGAAGAAAATTTCAAGGAGGAGACTGATATACAGACAACCCTGCTTGTACTTTATGAATGACTCCAAGTGGATAAGCAATCAATATTTTCCCGTGAAGAAACATGGTGTTGGGACACTATTGCGTTGCTTAGTTCCAGTTCTAACTAGGCTCTAGGAAAGCCCCTAACCAATAAGGGTGGTAAGTGGATAGGTTCTGGAGTCAAGAAATAAGGCTTTGAATAAGTGCTCTGCCACTCACCAGGTATGCAACATTTGGACAATTTACCAAAACCCATCTAACCCCTCATTTTCTTATTGGTATAAAATAGGATTCCAGTAGTGTTCTTCTCTCCTCAGAAAGTGCTGAGTGCCTAATATGTGCTTGGCTGTGTGCTCAAAGTGCTGAGGATACATGAACAAAACAAGATAGACAATGACAGATCATAACAGCATGAAAAAAATAAATAAGAGGACATGAGAGAGACAAACTCTGTCTCATGAGAGAGAGAGTGGGCGGTTGCTTTAATAGGTGGTCCTGGAAAGCCTGTCTTTCAGGTGATATTTCTGCTAAGATCCGAATAGAAGAGAGAATCAGTCCTGCAAAGAACAACAATAGCAACAACAAAAAAAGGCAAAAACCTTCCAGGGGATGAAACAGCAAGTGCAAATGTGCTGAACCAAAAAAGAACTTGATGTGTTGCAAAATGAGCAAGGAAGGAGGGGTGTGAGTTGAGGTCAGTGAGAGAATCAAGGCCTTTAGCACATGGTGAAAAGTTCAGGTTTCATTTTAAGTGCAAAGTAAGTCCATGAGGATTTTTAAAGGGATGGCATGATCTGATTTATACTTTTGAAAAATCACTGTGGCTGCTATGGGGGAAAATGGACATTAATGTCTGGTACGTAGTGTCAAATAAATGCTAGTAATTAATATACTATTATTTATGTAATGGTACCTCTGCTACACATTATTGTTGATATTACTATTGATTCACACTCAAAGTATTAATGAAAGTGTCCTGTGTATGACGAGCCTGTGCAGAAATTAAAATGATATGGCAACTACTACTAAGTAGGATAAGTTATTCTGCAGCAAATGTTGTTTGTGTGTAGGCTTGAGCAAGTTAATCTCTATGAATTTCAGTCCTTTGATTTGTAAAATGGTAATAATAGTAAAGCAATTGTAGGATCTAAATGAGAAAACGTATATAAAATGCGTAGTAGAGTGACAGATAGTAGGCAAATAACTAATATTACCCATTATTACCATTTTAAGTGTATACAGAAAGGGAAAAAAAGAATTGGCTACATTTTTTAGCTTCAGACTCTTAAGAACATGAAATATATACAGAAATAAATGCATAGCAATTAGTATGAGCATCTATTCTCTTACAATCCTGTATAGCCCTTTCCCTTATTCCTGTCACTATAGGGAATCTCTTCCAATTAGTTCATGGAGAATCCTTACCAAAAATGGGGTAGATCTTATTTTCCTATAACCACAGAGGTGAATATATGGCCCAGAGTTGGACAAACTACAGTGTTCCCTTCCCAGCCATAGTGATTGGTTCAGAGTAGGGCATGTGACCCAAGCTTGGCCAGTCAGGGTCTATCCATGGACTTATCTGCCACAGCAATAAGAAAAGACTGTTGCTTTCCTAGAGTGGAAATGCAGATAAGTTGAGTCTAGGGCTACCACTAGCCCTTTTTGCTTATTGAGAGATAGAGTGACAGAGTCCTGACAACAGTATTTAAGGCTCTGAACCAAACAATACCTAAAACCAGCCTTCCTACCTGACATCTCCAGTTACATGAATCAATAAATTCTCTTTTTGCTTAAACCGGTATGATGAATCAATGATTCTTGTCTAATAGAACCATGCAATTTAAGATCAGTTCTGGAAGTACATTCATCCATTTGGGGCACAAATTTGCTGTTCCCCAAAACAAATCCTTTACTTGGTTTAGGAAAAGGGATTGAGAAATAGTGTTAGGTGCAAAAGAAGTGTTGATAGTTAAGACTCTATTATCTAATGGAAAGGTAGATGGGAATGTTTCCCTTCCCAGAGCCCTGCTATTCTTCCTACTTTTCATCTGTCCTCTCACCTGACACCCGAATGCCCTCATGTGTTGGGTCACCTTCAGTTCTGAGAGCTTTCTGAGTCTTTTATGCTGCCTAGTCCATCTGCTGTTGATGCCGCTCCAGCTGTTACTGCCGAAAGCTGAGTGCAAAACTTTTAAATACACTGCCAAGTATGTTTAAGGGGTTTATATGAATGAAAAACGACCAAAAAAAAAAATGTGGATGAGTCCTAAGAGGATTTCTTCTTTCTCACTTCTAAAGCATTAACAGAGTTTGGAAATAAAGTCTGCTATACTTAAGTTCTCAATAAATATTTTAGGAAATCAAGATAGCTTCAAGAAATGTAAAATTTTAAGGCCTTACCTTCTTATGAAATCTCACAGACATTTCATATGATTTAGTTTAATACTGTGTCAAGATATTTATCCATTTATTCAGGCAGTAAAGCTACACATTTCCAGGAATGAATTTAATTAAGCACAACTCTTCCTTACTGCCTAGCACCCCTCCTTTAATGCTTACCATGCTTTTGACCCCAACTCACACTCTGCATGCACGTGAGATAGCATGACGTAACAAGAGGCAGCACAGTATAATAAGAACATATGGGCTTTGGATTTCCTATTCCCAGATCTCTGCCCACACGTCCTAGGTCTATCGATCTTGGGCCAGGCACTTCACTTCTCTGTGCATTGGCCTTCTCGTCAGGAAAATATTACCTATCCTGTAAAGTTGTTTGTATTTAAAAATAGTATTAATACAGGTGTGTTGTGATATAGTTTGGATATGTGTCCTTGCCCAAATCTCATAGTGAAATGTAATTCCCACTGTTGGAGGTAGGGCCTAGTGGGAGATAATTGGATCATGGGAGTAGATTTCTCATGAATGGTTTACCACCATCCCTCTTGATCCTGTTCTCATGATAGTGAGTGAGTTCTCATGAGATCTGTTTGTTTAAAAGTGTGTACTACCTCACCCCTCGGTCTCTTGCTCCTGCTTTCACCATGTAATGTGCAAACTCCTGTTTCACCTTCTGCTATGATTGTAAGCTTCTAGAGGCCTCCCCAGAAGCAGATGCTTTCTGTACAGCCTGCAGAACCATGAACCAAATAAACGTCTTTTCTTATAAATTACCCAGTCTCAGATATTTCTTAATAGCAATGCAACAATGGCCTAATACATGATGTCTCATAGTGTCTTACATATTATAATAGATTATTTCCATCAGTAGCAGAGTATAGTGGTTAAAAGCTCAGGCTCTGTCTGGGTGCAGTGGCCACACCTATAATCCCAGCAAGTTGGGAGGCCGAAGCAGGAGAATCACTTGAGGCCAGGAAACTGAGACCAGCCTGGGCAACTTAGTGAGACCCCATGTCTACAAAAAATAAAAATAAAAAATTAGCCTGGATGGTGGTGCATGCCCATAGTCCTAGATACTCAGGAGGAAGGCTGAGAAGGGAGGACTGTTTGAGCCCAGGATTTCAAGCCTGCAGTGAGCTATGATTGTGCTACTGAATTCCAGCCTGGGTAACAAGTGAAACAGAGTGAAACCCTGTCTCTTTAAAAACAAACTAACTCAGGTTCTGAAATCCAACTGCTGGGGTTTGAATCCCAGCCTCTTCACTTACTAGCTTTGTTGTATTAGGCAAGTTGCTTATCCTCTCAAAGCTGCAATTTCCTCATCTTTAATGGGGAAATATTGATAGTATCTATCTTGTTAGTGTGCCATGGAGATTAAATGAAATGTTGGTAAATCATCATTTTTCTCAAACTTACTCAGTGAAATAGTAGTGAATTATCACAAAAGCAACATTCTAGTTATAAGATAACATGAAAGGGGAATTAAGAATTTTTGAGTATCTAGTATGGACCATGGCTTATGACTAGAGCAGTGAAAAAACTTATTGTGGTGTTTACACATCTGCATTCATATAGCATTGATACAACATTTGGGTGCTTTATAGTAATAAATCTGAAAACTAGCTCAGTGTTGTGGCCAGAGTAAAGTAATAGTTTTTAAATTTTTTTTTCTATTCATTCCTTTACAACTAGAGCAAGATGTGTCAGGTGTATCATACATTTCCAAACATTGTCATGTAAAGAGGACACTTTAAATTTTCATTAAATCTCATAGTGATAGTTATAAATGATAGGATAAATTCCATTTCAAAATAATTACCAATATTTTCTGTAAATTCAGTAGATTCTTGTAAGATTTATATTTTGAATACATTACAGAATATCGTACATTATATATAGAGAGTATTTCTTGCCTACTTGTGCCTTCTAATTAATCTTACATAGTAACAAAAGGAAGATATTTCTAGTAGTGAAGATCAGTGTACGTGCAGAACCATATTATTACAACATAGGAATCTGTAAGCACGATGAAAAACAGCCAAAGGACATGCATCAGAAATTAAATCCAGTGGAAAATATGGCAATCATTTTAATTTACTGAAGCAAGCACCTACACAAAGCAAGAACACAGAGCAGAGATAAAAATGCTGTAGAATAGAGCTCAGGAAAGTAGTGTAAGAAGAAAAATAAATGGAAATAAATGTGGAATTAGAAAGACAAAGGAGAATGAACATTGCTAAAAATACAGCATGGGTCATAAAAAGTGACCAAAATAAAATAGGTAAAGAGTTTTCAAGGATTAGATAGCAAATTACAGGTATAGAAGAGAAGACAGGCACAGGAGATCCCCAGAATGCATAAATTGAGTCCCAAGTGTTGGTTAGAAAAAGGTGATGTTTGGTTTGAAGACTAATGAGCTAGAACTTGCCTGTGCCACCCTCATATGCAAATGTCCCACAGACTGTTGGAAGTGCAGGTCTGTTACTCAGGGAAGAGATGAATGCTACCTCACTGATACGTTTGTTTTTACATTCAGAGAGTGGCCTGGGTAACCTACTGCACAGCAAAATAACCTGCATGCCTGGCTGGTCACAATTCCATCCATTATAACCACTAATACTCACAGGTAAAGAACGAATCTTCATCTTGCTTGCTTACTATGTTATTTTTCTCCAACTATTCAATTAATATTTTATTACATATAATAATAGCAACAGAGATAATTCAGATGGATAGCATTCCCAGAATGTTCACAAACATCCTCTAAATAAAGCTTTTGTCACCTTAGAGCATAAAATGCCTGCCTAGAGCAATTACATGACAAATACAACTTTCACATACTGACATCTTCCCTTCCTGTGCACTGGAGAGGGCATAATGGGAACCAAATGGCCAAAGGGCAAGGAATAGGACAGAAAAGGCAGGCACAGAAGGGCTTGAGCTAATAGCCAGATATAAGTAACCTTTACTCCATGATGCTGACATCCATTTAATATAGGCCTCTGAAAATTGCTAGCAGTTTGATATGGGATTTTAGAAGTCATATGTTTTGAAACTTAACTAATCCCTTGTTTTTAATTTAATTTTTATGCATGTGTAACAAAGTCAAGCTACGTTAATTAGGTTAAATTTCATGACCACACCTTTTATACAAGGAAATCAGGACAATGGAAAACAATTTTTCTCTTCATCTTTCTAAGGTACATGGATTAAGGACTGAAAAAGCAGCCATTTGGGTTTGGACACTGTCAGTTTATTTTAGTATATAATTTGTCCTTTGAGGCATGGTGAAACATTTATGATTTCAAGAACTAGGGCAACTAAAGGTGGAAAAGTAGAAATGGCTCTTTACTTATTTATGTGCATGCTCTGATTGAAAGACATACAGGGAAGAATCTCAGAACCTGTGGTCTAATACCATACTATCTGATTTTGGATCCTGGCTCTAACTCTTACTATTTTTATGACCTTGTGTAAGGCAGTTAATATCTCTGTACCTCCATTTCCTCATCTGTAAAATAAAAATGATCATGAGCCTATTTTGGTGACAATTAATTCTCATAAATCACTCATAACAGTACTCAGCACATAACATGCACTCAATTAATTTTAACTCCCATTAATTGCATCTTTACAAGCAATCAGAAAATTATACTTTCTTACTGAAAAATACAATCTTAGGTATCGTTGACAGTGTACCAAAAATTCAGTTAAAGAATACTTATATTTCATATCCATAGTTCAAATATAACATTTGTGGGAGTTTCTCTACTCTCTGAGGGGTGATAGGCACATGAAACGCTCCTGGGTAGGGGGTAAGGGTAGATAAAATTGCATGAAAAGTCTTACTTTATAACATGTATACATTATCACACATTATTATATTTAAATCTCTCAGCAACACAATGAAATAAATAGGTATTACTATTATCTCTGATATGCATTGAACTGTGTTCATCTAAAAAATGATATGTTGAAATTCTCACCCTCATTACCTCAGAACATGAACTTATTTGGATGTAGAGTCATTGAAGATGTAATTAGTTAAGATGAAGCCATCCTGGAGCAGGGTGGGCCTCTAACCCAGTGTGACTAGTATCCTTATAAGAAGATGGTTATGTGAAGATGGAGATACACAGGAAGAACACCATGTCACCACAAAGGCAGAGGTTGAAGTTATACTACTCCAAGCCAAAAAATGACAAAGATTGCGGGAAAACCACCAGAAACTAGGAAGAGGCAGGGCAAGAGTACCCTCCAAGCTTCAGAGGGAGCATGGCCCTTCAGAGGGAGCAGACTTCAGACTTCTAGCCCCTACAATTGTGATACAATAAATTTATGTTGTTTTAAACTACCCAATCTGTGGCACTTTGTTTCCACATCCCTAGGAAACTGAAATAATCCTCTTTTCACAGATAAGGAAACTCAGGCCTAGAGAGTAAGATCACACAACTAGTAGGTAAAGGAAACCATTTTTGCATTCAAAGCACAACTTTTTCTATTGAGACATCTTGTCTCTTTCCATCATTCCTTTGCACACTGTTCACTCCAGCCGTGCTCTTCATAACCCTTCCTCAAACATGCCAGTCATGGACCCTCTTTATCTTTGGTCATAGGGAAAAAATATATATTTATTTGTCGGCTCCCCCATGCCAGGCATCTCACTGGGCAGTTTTCATATGCAATGTTCTCTCAGTCTTGCATATGAAATGAATTTTCTGCCATTTTTCCTACATGAAAATCCTCATTCTTCAACTGCCAAGTGAAATTCTCCAAATCCATCAAGCTTTCCATCTATGTTGTCAGAATTATTTTTTTTCTGTTTATTTCCATTGATCTCTAATTATTTATTATTCCATTTATCTCTAATTTTTGTTTGTAGGTGATTCATAGTCTATAGCATTCTGTCAATTTCACTGAATTTTAAGATCTTTAGAGACAGGGTCAGAAATGTAATAGCCCTTTAAGGAACAACAGACAAAGTCACTAAAATTTTTACTTAGACTCCACAATCTGAAATGTAGCTTTTCCTGATTTACATATGCCATATGCAATCTTTGTCTTATTTTCCAAACCAAAAATTGGTCAGCAGGCTGTTAAGAACAGAAGAGCGAAAACTTCCCTGATGGTATATGAGGCCTGAACGTTTATTAGTTTTTGTTATTGTTTTTGTGTTTAAATTGGTTCTCTATTTACTGTACCATTGACCTCTCTTCCTCACTCTCATACCTTCTGTTCAATTTGAAATTTCACTGAATGTTTAGACATCCAAAACTGAGAGCTCACTCAGTTTCAACACTCAATAAAAAGGTGAGATAAAAGCTTAAATTTTCATAAAGTAAAAGTCAAAATTTGTACTTTAGAACATGGTTTCAGAAAATAATAACAACAATATAGGAAAACAAAGGAAAATCAAAATCTGAATGATTTAGTTAAAATTGTATTGAAGCAATTTGATTTTGGCAATATTGTTCCCTCTGAAGAAATTGTAGGAGGGGGTATTAGGTCGTTCTTGCATTGCTATAAAGAAATAACTGAAACTGGGTGATTTATAAAGAAAAGATGTTTAATTGGCTCATGGTTCTACAGGCTGTACAGGAAGCATAGTCCTGGCATCTGCTTGGCTTCTGATGAGGCTTAAGGAAGCTTATAATCACGGTGGAAGGCAAAGGGAGAGCCGGTGTCTCACATGGCAGAAGCAGGAGCAAGAGAGAGAGGGCGGGGGAGGAAATGCCACATTTTACAACCACCAGATCATGTGAGAACTCACTTATTTCAAAGACAGCACCCAGCCATGAGGGATCCACCCCCATGACTCAAACACCTCCCACCAGACCCCACCTCCAATAGTAAGGATTACAATTCAACGTGAGATTTGGGCAGGGATAAATATCCAAAGTATATCAGAGACTCTTCATAATTTGAATTCTGTAAATTTCATTTCTTGTTCATAATTTTCCCATAAAATTTATGCTAAAAAAATTCTTAATACCCACACACACTTAACACATTATGCCAGTAACTGGCACAAACCATGACTTATCATATTAAGCCGAGTCAGGCTGATCTCACTGCTGCTTCGAGGTACCCATAAAATGCAGCAGAACTACTGCACATTGCAGGTGAGCTAGACTCTGCTGCGCTCGCCACGCAGGTTCCCAGAACCGGGAAAATCCTTTTGCTGTAGAACAATTTGCGTTACAAAGAGATGCTAATACCTAAAGCATAAGTGTAACTGAAATGCTTAGCTTTAAGCCAGGCTGTGCCTTTGTAGACGTAGGGTTATTTAAACTCCTGTAGCATCTTTCTTCAGAGTAATGAGGAACTTGACAAATAATATAAATATAATTTCATGACTGGCATGCAATAATAATCAAGATAAAGTTTAAATGCCAGGCAAAAGACATATAGCTAGGAGTGCTGCCCAATGCCTACCCCAGAGGAAATCAGAGTGGCTCTTTGAGTAAAAGAATGTGAAGTTTCTTTTACTCAAGACCTTTCTGTTTTCTTTCAGTTTGATTTAACAGAATTATGAGGGGGGAAAAATGAGAGGAAGTCAGACACACACTATAAATGTTTATACTTATGCAGGTCAGTGTCACCAAGTAGGTTGCAAAGTCTTAGGAGGGAAATTTGTTCTCATTACCTTTACATGTCTGTAACACTTAGCATAATGTCTGGCATAATGTCTGAGCAATGGTAGGGTGCTCAGGGAATGCAATGATTTTTCAACCCAAATTTTCCTTTTACCATATTTGTTCATGTGCTTCTTCAATTATATGTTCATGTAATTTTACTTAAATTTTGTTTTGCTTTGGTAATTGAGTAATTAAAACAAAGTATGGTGAATTGGAGTTTAATTATCCTTGTGGTATGTTTTAATATCTTCTTAACATAATAATAGTATAATGCCAGTTAAGAAAGTGAAACCATCTGGAAAAAGAAGATGGGGTTAATATGTCACAAAAGTATATAATAAAAATTGATTTTCTTATGGGAGTGTATAATATTTGCAAGGCAATTATTTGCAAGGACTGAGTAGAGTGTAAATGTTGAGTAAATGTATTTTTGGTTATTACTCTTTCTGCTGTCTTTAATACAATTGATGCTTCTGAACATTTCTTCTTCTATCATGTTGTAAGTACTGAGTTCTTTTCAGTATGTATTTATAGCCTCTTCCAATGTTTTCTGCTATTTTAGAATGATAGTGGTACCAGGCAATATATTAACTCTCTTAGTTCAATCCCATTTCATATTTCCCCATTAATCTTGTTCAGGATTTCTGTCAGGATCTTCTCAAATGCATTGTGATAAAGCAGGATTCATATCACTGCTTACAAAACTTCATTTGGAATCACAATATTTGTTGGCAGATTCATGTATGTCTCCCAGTGGATTTAACCAGAGCTAGTTCTGACTTATGGAACACAGCTTGAATTACAGAAGCCACTATTTACAGACCGAAGAGGTGGATTTCTTTTTTTTCTTCTCTTGTCATAAACATCCAATTTCTTCTACAAGAACAGGCAAGAATTCTGCGGTTAGGTTCTTGTGGAAAAAAACATAAGGTAATAAGTCAAAAAGAGAAGAAAAAATACAGAAAACGGGACAAAACATGGATAAGAGGCTTGAAGAACTGCTGATGGGAACCCAAGAAAGCAGGTGGTGGAAAGGACATTTTGCAGAATTGAGTGGATACAGCTGATGAAAAGAGTGGTGTGGCATTATCCCAAGATATTGTGGTTACTGCTATCTTATCTGAAACATAATAAATAAATCTAAAATTAAATGTTTCTAAGTCTTGGCATAATGAACAAAGTATAATAAGATCTATGGATATTGCAATTGGGACTGACAATGGAGTTTGATGCTCCAGATAATTATTGCCTTCTACATGGTTTACATCTAAAGGAGGTTTTTGAGACGGGATTTTTTAATTATTAATGCATGTTTCATGGGCTGAATTGTATCCCCCTCCAAATTCATATGTTGTAAGCCTAACCCCCCGTACATCAGAATATAATTGTATTTGGAGATGATCCTTTTGAGATAAGATTAAGTTAAAATGAAGCCATTAGTGTGGTCCCTAATCCAATTTGACTGATGTCCTTATACAAAGGGAATTTGGACATACAGAGACACCAGTGGTGCATGTGCACAAAGGAGAGACCATGTGAGGATGGAGGGAGAAGGCAGCCATCTGCTAGCCAAGGATAGAGGCCCCAGAAGAAACCAAACCTGCTGACAGCCTGATCTTGGACTTCTAATCTCCGGAACTGTGAAAAAGAAATCTCTGCTGTTTAAGTCATCCAGGCTGTGGTGTTTTGTTATGGCAGCCTTAGCAGACCAATACAGTAGGCATATAGTTTTAAAAGTCAAACAGTTCAGTTAGGCTTAAGAACATCCCACAGCCTCTGGTTCCACCCCCTGTTCATCCCAATTCTCACTCTCAATGGCAACCACTTTCAGCTGTTTTAGTTGTTTCTTATGGTGTATACTTCTTTATTCTCAAATAGCATTTTATACTATTTCTTAATTTTTTATTAAACAATATCTGACTTCCTACTATGGAAGATGAAGATGTAGCTCCCCAACAGCTTATTCCACTATCACAAAACACACCCACCTACACGTGTTGCTTCCCCAATATTCACAATAGCGTTGCATCACAATATTTAGTGTTCTCATTTCTATGCCTATTTAAATATTATTTATAGTTGAGCCATGTAGAACAACGTGATTATATTTGTACCATATGTTGTTCTCCCTGGAGTTAATAATTGCCTCACAGAATGTACATAAATAGCTTTGCGCAGTGGCAGTATCATAGCCAGTGAGGTTTATCTGAAGCACGATTATTACTAATTGAAAACAGAATGTGCATAAATAACAAGTCAGTTATTCCTCCAGGAAGATCTCGCAAGAAATCAAGGCTAGCCTTATCTTTGAAGTATCTCCACAATCATCTGTGGGGTACATAATCTACAGCCGGAGATACTTAAGGCTTTTTATTTTGTGCCTGGTATAAGATGGCAGATGTGTTGCCACGGCCAGTATAATGATGCCTCTAGGGAGCAACGGTAGCCATCCAGGAGGTACAGGCTTGATCAGACTTTGATTCCAGTCAGTCTCATCAGAGAATGGTCTTTTCTCCATTGTTAGTCACTGAGGTCAGTGAACGACTCAGACACTTCAATCAACAGCCACAGTTTGTTTACCCTATTTATGGTCTCAAAGATGGATAACATTACTCTTCCAGTCTGTAGTTTTCCAAGTGTCGAACCAAAAAGCTAGGCCAATGGAAATCACCCAAGAATCAGTAAAATTATAACAAGATTTATCAAGGGGAATATTGGCCAAGACTATGAGAACAGCCTTGAGTTCTGCCCACTGAGCCAAGTGGCCACATTCATTTTTGATTTTGCATGACTGGCACTTCATATGTACAGCTGCAGCAGTCCAGGGGACATCACTGGGTTTCAGCCCAGCTGAACTATTATTGAACCAGGCCTAGGCATTTATGGGAACTGCTAAGCCAGCAATGTGGTTCAGGCAATAGAGTGCCTCCTTTTTACCTAAAGCTCAGATGCTGCTGGGTTCAGGCCAGCTACGTTCTTGAATAAACATTTCTATCCAACAATTGAGGCTTGCTTGTCTTTTCCACCTTTTAACACAATTGAGTCCAAGTTGACTTACCCCAAAATAGAGACATTAGGCCAGCCACAAGGCTTCTATGCCTCAGATATTCAGTTTCAGCAAGAATACAGTAATTTACAAGAGCATGTACCTGGTATCTGCATCTAAGAGACAAAGATCTCCAAACCCCTTAGGGGTGCCTCTGGGTGAAGGCTGTCTCCTTTTGCCAGAGGATCCAATTGGTAAAAATCATCAGTCACAGTCATTTAGCTCAAGGGGTCGTTAGGTTTGTGAGACACTAAAGGTACTAACACCTCTCTATTTGTGGCTCTTTTGAATTGGGAGATCCCTTATGATATTTATGAACATTCCTAGTACAGGCATACAATACCAATTATATATTCTGCGTGGAAGCTGCAAAAATAGTACATTAAATTCTCCCAAAGAAATTGACTCACAGCACCACTTTAGCTTCCCTTTCCATGGTGAATTCCATCCAAACCCCATAGTTGAATTTGGATGTCCCCTCTCCTAAGCAGGACCAGATGGGCTGGTGGGCCCCGTATCCAACAAAGCCTTAAACATTTGATTCCCTTGCCTCCCCAGCATACTCAGACGTGTGTGTATAACCTTCAGTTCCCCTTGAGGACAAGCTGGCCTCAGCCCTGCCCCTAAACATCTTTTTCCTTAAAGCAGCTGAAATTGGGGTAGCATGGGATGGAGGGGATATGGAGTGGGGAGAGAGAGGTTGCAGGGAGAAAGGGGTTCTATGCCATGAAAACAAGGCATTGCTCTCACTTTTCATTTCAATCTATGCAGCCACTAGACTTGTAGACTTCTTTGGGTCAGTTTCTCATTCCCCATGGGACACCTGCATCTGATTACAAGCCAAATCCAGGGCAGTAAGAGCCTGACAACTAGTCAATGCCTCATCTATGGTTTCCAACTGGAGCTTGTCTGTCTTAGGGACATCTATCCAAGAGGGACAAAGCTTCCATACAGCAGCCAATATTCACTGCAAAAATATTCTTAGATATTTTATTGTCTTCTCTGAATGGATCCAGGTTTGTCATGATAGATTGCAGGAGAAGCTGAGCCTTTAGATGGCCTTGCTCTTGACATTCACCTTTAACAAGAATTGCATGCTTCTCTCATTTTCCAAGCAAATCAGACTAAGTTCTTAAAATTGATTTGGTTTCGGAAGTCACATATTTCTCGCCTTTCTCACTCAGCGAGGGTTTGCGATTCTGGAACTGTTTTCTGATAGGGAAAAACCTCTGCCTACACAGAGTGAATCTTCATAATACTTTTAACAGTTGGGTCTACGAACATCCAAATTGTCAAGGAAGTCTCCTGTGCGAAACAGAGTTAACAGCTAGGGCACTATATCGGCAGCTGTCTTTGACCCTATTTCCTATTCTTTGGTCAGCAACCACCACCCCAGTTCCTTCTCATTAATAGGCAATAAAGTGGAGAACCTTGTATAACCTGGTTGACATATAGGTTAGTCAACATCTTTGTTATTGATACCTATGGATTTTTTTCCAAATTCTATTAATCAGCTTGTGAGACCTTCATCCTTCCTCATCCAGAAAGTCCTACCACTCACTGTTCCAGGTGCATTGCCAAATTGTCAAGAACTGTGATGGATCTCAGACTTTACACTACTGACAAGCTAACAAGTTATCCTGGCTCCTGCTCTAAATCATAAAGTGAAAATGATTTCCACGCTTGGGTAATTCCATAGTTTCTACTTCAAATCAGCAGTTTCCAAAAGTATTTATTCAGACTAAGAATCAAGAAAATATTGTCATAGTAAAATAATATTTGTTATATATGATACAATATCAAATCAGTGACATTACTTTAGTGGAGATTTTTAAATTATGTTGCTGATTCATTACTATTAAGCAGAATAGAAAATATTTAGAAGAAAAAAAACAGTAAATTGAAGGAATAACCTGAAGTTGAATTTCTATTTCAAAAAATTTTCTCATGTTAAATAAACTTATCTTAAAATAAATCTTCTTCATTTCAGAGGTTTACTAAAATGTTCTATAATTTTATTTTACAGTCAGAGGATGATAGAAAAGAGAATGGTGTGGATATTCTGGTACCACCGTCATTCATAAAAGGAAAAGATAATGAGATCTAAAAAAAACTGTCAAAATTTTCTTCCATTCATCAGTGCTGCAGAGCTAGAGAAGAAATAGAGCTATGCAGTATAACTGCTGATTATTTTATGATTTCATCACCAAAAGAACAGAAGAGAAATTAATGGGGATACCAAATAGGGAAAATATGCATTTATTAAGTCTCCTTACATTTTATTATACTATATAAATATTTTTAAATCAACAACTTCTGGTTAAGTCAATAGACTATCAACTAAATTTGCTTTTTATGTATTCAAGGATAAAATAATTAAGCAGATTCTGCCAAACACTTGACATGTTTCTGGTATAAAGTAGAATTTTAGTGCACAATATTTAAAAACCATGTGGCAAGCACTTTTTATATGTAATGCTTTGTTAAGATACTATCAGTGGGAACAGGGCAGTTTTTTCAGTAGAATTTTTATTGCCATGCTATTTTTAGTCATTAAAGATAGGTCCACAAGATCTTATTCCAATCTGACAATTGACATCACAATGTGAATTAAATCAGTTTAGTCATTTTTAAATGCAGCTGAAGGGGAACAGCTCTGGATATTTCAAACATATTACTGTTTCTCTTTCACAAAATTTAATTTGTTTCTTAACTGAACTAGAGCCTCTGGGCGTTTGTAGAGGGAAAATAAAACCTCCAAGACTGTTTTATTCTGTATAAAAGCTGCTGTGCTCAGAATGAACCCGGAAAGACATTTAAAGGTGAACAAATGACATAGCCAAGCATGCATTTCTTATGATGCAGTAGAAACCGTAGTTGGCACATTAACCATCACTACCCCTGTATGTGGTATGTATCCAGATAATTTCATATGTTGGAAATGCTACCTAGGCAGCACTGGCGGTTCCTACCTGAGACAGCTAATACAGGGTATTATCTGAGGCTGCCAACATGGATGAAAATTATACTTTGGAAAGTTTGCACTTAGTCACAATGCAAAATGAGGACAGATTTAAACATGACATTTTGCCAGTCAGGAGACTTTCTAGAAGATGAAAGACTGGTGAAATAAATCTCAATGTTTTCATAAAAAAAAAAAAAAGAGTATGAGGCTTTCAGACTTTCACTCTTTGTGAGGCCTGTGATTTGATTTTCCATACATGGTGTAACAAAATTTTCAGGAGGCAGTAATACAATTACTGGGAAATGGGTTAACTGAAATCCTCATAGCCTTATATCTTTGAGGACTACTTCTTATTCCATGGGGTGTCCCAAGATATAACTTTTGACATGAGTTTCCTATGTTCAGCTACTTGAAGCACTCCAAATATTCAGAGACAATTTTCAGCCTTACCAGAAAGAATGGCTTGCTGATATTAAAAATTAAAAACTTGAAAATAGAGAGGAGAGATAGAGTTCCCAGTATTCCCAGACAGACTTGCAACAGGCAAAGGGGTTGTTTATAGAATCATCTAACAATAACAGCTGCTATTTATTGTGTGCTATATCCAGTGATGTATACACACACACACAAATAGACTGATAATCTCTAATTCTCAGCAGTTCCTATTATAACCCTTTTACAGATAGGAATAATGAGGCTCATTAAGACTTAGTAATTTGCAGAAGACCATCTAATCAGTAAGGCAGAGAGCCTTGAACTGAGGATATGTCTAAAATGAGGAACTGAAACATCAAGTCCCTTCTGAGCTGACACCCCAACTTCCTGACAATGCAAGATCACTGACTAGCTCTTTAGCAGGAGTTACATGGAGTCAAGAAAAGAAGTATCTCCTCATGTTTCATCTTCTTACTCAGCCAGTCTGCCACAAATTGAGGAGACTTCAGCGGATGGCTGTGGAATGATTTTAATTACCACCCTTACCTGCCAGTGACAAAAGTGGCAAGGACTGCTAGCTTCCAGGAACAGCCATCGCAATTGTGTTTGTGAAAAGTGAAGGGACTTTGCCAGGCAGTTTAAATTGAAACATGATCAACTACCCACAGAGAGTTAGTCCTAGTGCCCGAGGGACCACTTAAAGTGGCCTAGCTATAAGAAGACATATTCCTCCACACTATGTCGACATATACTAACAGAGGTGCTGGTGTCTGTTTGGGGAGAAGTTTGCAGAAAGGGAGAAATGCATGTAATCCATTGGGACTGGTTCCACTTTCTGTAGATGATAGAAATTGAAGAGAGAGAAGCAGAAAGCTATTTTATCCATATATAAGTTTAAAATTATAGACTCAAGGAAAGACAGGCATAGGGAGGGCTGAGTTGGGGAGGCATGTGAATGAATGTGAATTGGAGAAAGAGAAAATGTGCAGAAGAGAGCTGGAAAAGTATAAAAATAGAAGCCTGCAGAAAATTATTTTGATCACTATAAAACAAAACTAACAGACTGATAGACCTGGCTAAAATCTAAGCAGTTCATAAATCTGATACTGAAAGGACTGAAAGGACATTTTCAAAATACTACTTTGATTCTCTATTGCCTGCTGCATGAAACTCAAACCCCTTAGCTTAACATCAAAGATCTTCCAGTGCTCTTGACAATTACGCCATTCTGTATGCTGAAAATTTCACTAGTAAGTTTTCTAAATGGGCAGTGAGGTGACAGACTTGTGTTTTAGAAATATCACTGGTAGCATTATGGATTATTGATGGAATAAAATAGGAACCATGGACAGGGTGACTATTTGGGAAACTAGTGCAGTGGCTTGGTCTCAAAGATGATGAGGATATGAACTAAAATAGTGAAAGTGGACGTGGGAATTGTGCTGGACTTGGATTTCAAAATGCCAACTAAAATTTATTAAAGTTTATTCAAATACAGAATATTTTGTCTCTAGGCTATTTATGTAGAACCTGGAGGCTCCACTTAAGATGAAGACTTGGGAGGAGAAAGACAGACTTTTCTCTGCTGGCTGGCTCATAGCCCCTATAGAGTTGATGATGGCACTAGCCATGTAGATGATAAGCTAGATCTCAGCAGGTTTTCTGGTCTTATACACAAGTGAGCAGATAGTAGGTGGTCTACTTATGAAATTTCAAAGTGGAAGAAATGTTTGAAGCTTCTCAGTCATGGATTCTATTCCTCACTTGCAGTTTTATCTACTCAATTGGACATAGGCATAACACATAAAAGGATAGGCAGAAGCCTGGCTTAAGAGACCTATTCTCCACCCAGGCAAAGGGCCTGTTTGACTCATCTCTGTGGCCTTCCTTTCAACTTTTCTATTATTTCTCTCACTGCCTTAACAGGTAGTTTTGCTGAATATTGCAGAGAATTATTTTGAAAACCATTTCAACCAAAAGTGTACATGTCACTTTTAGCTAGTGATCTTATCTGTCTTTATCTTAGACTCCTAAGAGAGGTGAATTATACACACACGCACACACACACACACACACATTTTTTATTTATCTATCAACCATGCCAAATGTGGTAACTTTAAAAAGCATTTATTATTTCTAATGACTTTTTGTGATGACTTGACTCAGCTGAGTAGTTCTGCTCCTGTGATGATGGCTGGGTCTATACTCATTTGGGTACTTGACTGGGATAGAATGTCCAAGATGGTTCATTCATATGCCTGGCAAGTTGGTATCAGCTCTCAGCTGGTATCTCCACTGGGTCTATTAACCAATATTCCTTTTTTCTCCTCCTTGTGGCTTTCTTAAAGCATGACATGTACGTTCCAAGAAGGAGTGTTTCAAAGGATAAGTTCCAGTGTGCAAGCACTTAGCAAATCTTCAATTGCATCTCTCTTAGCTCCATGTCATTGGTCAAGACTAGTCACAAGGCCAGTGCAGATTAAGGGGAAAGGAAATAAGCTCCATCTCATGACATCAGGAATAGCATGAGCATACGGGAAAAGGACACTGTTGGGGGCTATCTTTGGAGATGCCTTACTAAATACACACACAACACTCATTTGTATGCAGTGTTAAAATGTGCATTTAAAATGAATACAAAAATCCTTCCTGTGTTACAATATTCATACATAACAATTCATGCTCAGAATATTGTCCCCATACTCATCACGTAAAGGGAGAAACATTATAAAGTGTCGTGGGTATTAAAGCGAGTGCCTCTGATAAATTGTGGATTGTCCACAGACTCTTCTCTATTGTAGGAAATCAAGGAATGAGCAACCATTGAGATAGGGGAGCAAGTGGTGGAGCTTTTGGGAGGGTTGCAATGCTCAGCTCTGCAGGTTATGCTCCGCATAGCATTGGCTTCATTCTAAGACGCCATCGTATGAATGACACCCTTCAGAGTTGTGCAGTGCAAAAACATCCACCATATCCCTGGCTCTGTACTTTCTAAATGGGGACACTGAGTAAATAGCAATGTAAAACCCAGGAGAAGTAAGCGTAGCAGAGAAGACAGTGAATTCCACCTTGGACATGCTGGATTGGAGGGGCCTGTGCAACTTCCAGACTTAGGTATGCGATGGATAGTAGGAAATGTTGATTTGGAGCTCAGTAAGGCCGGGGAATCAATGAAATCATCAAAGTAAAACAGGTTTGGGAAGAAGAGCCTGAAACAATAACCCTGCAATGTATGCAACCGAAAAGTGAGATCCAGTAGAGCATTCTGAGAAAGAGCAGTCAGAAAGCCACAGCAACTTGACATATATCTGCTGGAATGAGACAGAGCAGTAAAAGCCATTTCCTTAAAATGAATGCAAAGATGTCTGCTTAACACAGGGTGATTAACTTTCTATTACTGTCTTTACACAAGCTCTCTGAGGGTCTCCCAGAGACAAGGTGTTAATGAATGGAAAAGCTGCTTTTTCCTTCTCACTTTCTCCCTGCTGTGGAGCATCTAGGATGACTTTAAATAATGATAAGTTTGCCTTGTGTAGTGCTTTACAGTTTACAGAGCATGTTCACTTACTTTATCTAATTTGTTCTCTGCTGCAACCCTCTGAAGTACGCAGGGCTGGTATTAGTATCTTCATTTTACAGATGAGCAAACTGAAGCCGAGAGAAGTGATTATTCCAGAGTGGAACTGTCCTCCGACTCCCAATTCAGTTCTGTTTCCACTGAGCCGCTCAACTATATTAAAGATCAAGTCCTTGCTTTTCATTTGTCCATGGAGATACCTGTGTTATCTAAATTAGGAGTTTTCTGTCTTACAGTTATCAGCCTTAGCAGAGAAGATGTGGCAGAAGCTGGGACTCAAGGGTGGCTGACATTGTCCTTCGGCATTTTTAGTGACTGTATTCCACTCCTTCTCTTTCTGGTGTACGGCTTTCAGAATATAGGTTATTTTTTTCTCAAACAATGAAGAAAGGTAATTGGTGATCTCTGCCTTGAGTAATGCTATTGAACAAATCTTACAAGTATGAAATTTAACATGCTTTTTTATTGGTAGAAACAGCTCTCGTTATCTTTTAAATCCCAAATTTATGTGACTGTAAATCATCTTTTTTTATAATTTATCATTACTGTTTCCTTCAAATTCCCACGTCTTTTGGCAAACCCCTTTTTCAGCACTCCCTTATCAGAATTTTATTCTGAGAGCTTCCACTTCTTCACGCTGTATTTCTATGCAGTTTTCCTTTCTTGTCACGCATACAACAGATCTTTACTGGATGCTTATTAGGTGTGAGAAACCATATAAGTTTCTTGGGTTACGATAGGGTTATTATCCAAAAATAACCAGTGCTAATATTTGATGAACATTATTTCACCTGTCTCCCTCCATCTCTCTCATACGTACACATGTATATATAAACATATTCTTATGCTATATCTCAGTCCTTCCATTTCTTTGTAACATCTAAATTATTCAACATAATTATTAACCTGATAAACCAATCTGTACAAATATAATGGAAGATCTATAGATGATATAGATATAGATACAGACAGATACAGATGGTAGGATGGAAATAATTTTGCAAAAGTGAGTTCAAAAAATAATGCTATTTTTATATATAAAATAAATAAGTATTCTACCTGAATTTATTAGAAGTAAAGGAAACTGGAACAAAGGGTTAAGCAACTGATGAACTTCAAATAAATTCCAACAAAATATATTTCCCACAAGAGTCCTCTAATATTAAGGAAAGAAAACTGTAAATAATACTAAGAGGCCAGAGTCATTATAGTTGCTTTTGTTTTAGTCTTAACTACATGTTTCTATTTTTTAAAGTGCAGATTGGCTATGTGCTGTCAAAAGTGTGAAATAGAGAGCCCTTACATGTTCTCCTACCTATCCACAACCATATTCCAGTCCTGTTACCTTATTATTTCTACATGTTCAATATATGTTATATTCATATTGTTTTTCTCTAGTCATAGTTTCTGGCTGAGTCTCAACTGTTTATTTTAATGAAAGTAATGTTCACCTACAATCATTTTACTATGCCTTTCCATTCCAGAATATTTTATTTTAATTCATTTACTGATTATTTGGATTATGTCAAGACAGTCAATGAAAGGATAGTTGTTGTAAAATGTGTTAATTGCCATGACTTTAGAAACACACAAAATTATGTGGTGCCAGGGACATCTAAGAATAAGTTGTAATTAGATAAAATGAGAGAATTGACAGAGGAGCTGACACAGTTCCAGAAGTTGTTCTCTTTATGTCTCCACACTAAAATACATAGAGATACATAAAGAAGATATCCCTACTCCATATCTCAATCCTTTCATCTCTTTTTAATGTCAAAATTACTCAAGATAATGAGTATTAATATGGTAAATTAACCTGTGCAAGTATAATAGAAACTCAATGAAAAGCATTTAAGGACATATAGGACTTGGATCCCAAATTATTGCATGCCACTCATACATCTGTCCCCATGCATTACAAAGCTAAATTCCATGCTAAAATCAGCCCACACATTACATGAGTACAGCCTCACTAAACAGAGTGTCACTTGGCAGCATGCTGCTACATTTTGACTCCACTAATTAAGTGTGTTTTTGGAGAACCATGCTAGCATTCTCTGTGGGAAGCATACTGGCATTTTAAGGATAAGAGGACAGAAAAGGTCTTAAGTGAATCAAAGAAGTTATGGAAAATGTGGCTTTCACCAGAAATATGCAATGAAACATAGAGTTATTTAAAGAAGGTTTCAGATGTAAGTATTACTGTCCTGCTACAAAAAGACTTTTTTTTTTTTTTTTTTGCTACCATGCTGTGTGGCATGAGCCAATAAGTTCAGTTCCCTGTGGGTTCGAGCAGACATCTAGGCCTAGAGCATGCCTGCAGCAAGTTGATGTACTAACAAAGAGAAAACCTATTTAGGCTGACTCTTTAAATGTCAGCCTGCTGCAAATAGTCTTCAATAAATTTTAACATCACCCTAGTAAATATAGTTCATTAGTATAGTGTATTTGATTCAAGAGTTTCAATCAATATATGTATAAGATCAGGGAATAAGTAAGATTTTTGATTTCTTATATTTTGTTATAAATACAAAGTAAGCCCTACTTTTGAGAAATGTGAATATTAAGTTGAAATTCCCAAAGAGCTGAAATATGTTATTCTTTATTCTGTGTTTCTTGTTACTTATTCAATAATTTATTTCAATATTTTATTTAATGTTACTATTAAATTTTATACTTAATTATTTAAAAATTGAAACAGTAGAAAGAAAAAATTAATTATATTGCCAACTTGTAAGTAGAGATTTTCTTCATCAGTTAAAATATTCTATGATCAGTTGCACAAAATTTGACTTATACGTGAGTGGTACAACCATTGAATGGCATAGTCTTTACTAATACATTTATATGATATTATAAATTATACAAAGGTCGAAATCTGTGAAAAGACAGCTAGATGTGATATGATTTATATTTAAACAATACCATACCATGGTTTTCTTTCTTAGCCTATATTATAACAAATAACAAATTAAGCTGTGAATGCAACAGTAGGCATAATCAAATGGTATTGAAATACAGCCATGTACACCTAAGATCTGCAAAGCCATGGATTTTGTGTGTGTGTGTGTTTTCTTTCTTTTTCTTTTTATCATTTAAAGCCATGGATTTTTATTAAATGATTATCTCACTAAAATTTGTGATTCATTAGCAATTTGGCTAGGAGGATTCGCAGGTGATACTTATTAAACTACATTATTTTTCATGGCTTTTAATCAACATGAAAAAGAGTGAAAGTCTTTTGAAAAAGCAGAGAAACCTCTGGTGATAGTTAAGAGAGTGATGTCATTAAAATGGAGAGCTAGAAATAAAGTGGGTCACAAGAAAATGAATCAACTAGCAGATATATACTAGTCATTTGAGAAATCTGGCTTAAAAAAGGAGAAAATAAGACAATAATTAATTGGATAAGAAAAAGAAAGAAAAAAAGTTTATCATGATGAAGGGTCTTACAATGTTTGAGGATAAAAGCCAAAAGCCAATAAAAGAAGATTTGGAACATCATGGAGAAGGAGGAGATAAAAGTAATAACAAAAATATATTGTGAATTAATAAAATTTCAGTTCAGTAATTGCTTCCTTAGCTTTTCTCCAGTAAAGAGTTAAGGCCCCTAAGCTGGTAGAAATAGGCTCTTAGAAAAAGGAAAGAAAATAGTCATAGAAGCATGGGGATCTTCAATTATCTTGTATTCCTTTCTCCCTTCTCCCATCAGACCCCAATCATAGAACAGGAAGATAAAAAACAAGAAAGTACTGGGTGCTGACTTGCTCTATTTGACTCACTTATCTTGCTCAGGGGGCAAAAGGAGGGAAATAATATTGGCACCACGTAATTTAATTTCAATGTGAAGGCTATCCATAGAGAAGCTTTCATTTTGAGGTGGCTTACTTGAAGGTTTTAGCCATTCCACTGAGAATAATCATGAAGCGATACAGTAATATGAGGAGCATAGCCTACCTGATAGGTGGAGCTCTAATCCTCACCATCATGCCATCTGCCCTCTGTATATTCTTTTTGTCCCTGCCTGGACAGGCATTCTTCCTTCTCTTATGTACACTTTCCTCCCCTTAGGCTTCAACCTCAGCACACTTGTAGATAATACTATCTGTACCATCATATTAAGTGAATTCTCAAACTTTATTTTCCACACTAATCACATGCAGAGCTTGTAAGTCCCACAACCAAAGTTTCTGATTCAATAAATCTGGTATAGAGCCCAGAACTGTTCTTTTTAACAAGCACACTAGGTGATTCTGATGTGGATGATTTAAAAGCCACACTTTGAGAAATAGTCTTAAATGATATTGTGCAGGGATGAATTTACTATATGTGTGTATATTTCTTCTAATACTGATGGCTTTGATTTTATATTTTATGTGTATGATAACCCAATCAACATTTTTATAGTAGTCTTGACCTAGCAGCATGTATTAGTCCATTCTCACACTGCTATAAAGAAATACCCAAGACTGAGTAATTTATAAAGGAAGAGGTTTGATTGACTCACAGCTCTGCATGGCTGGGGAGGCCTCAGGAAACTTACAATCATGGCAGAAGGGGAAGAGGCACATCTTACATAATGGCGGGCAAGAGAGAGGAGCATTCGTGAAGGAGGAACTGTCAAACACTTATAAAACCATCAGATCTCATTAGAACTTACTCACTATGACAAGAACAGCATGAGGGAAACCACCCCCATGATCCAATCACTTCCCACCTGGTCCCTCCTTCGACAAGTGGAGATTATGGGGATTACAATTCGAGATGAGATTTGGGTGAGGACACAGCCAAACCATATCACAGTAGGATGGTTCAAGAGTTAAAATTAGTGCTTCCTCATTAGTGAGAATGTACCCACTATATCTTAGAACCACTATGAGTCTTTACATGCTGGATCCAAGACCACAGCTGGAGTCAATGACATTGGAAAAAAAGGAAGCATACCTGGTCCCTTCATTACTGAAGAAAGAATAAGGAGCACAGTGTAGATTTAAGTGTTCCATGGTGCTGCAGATAAAGGAGGTAGATCTTTCCAGATGTTCTTCATTTTCTCAGTGAAGTGGAACAATAAGGCCAACTGCTGAAGGTGAGATTAGTACAGGAAGGGGGAGAGTAGATTTGGAAATCAGAAGGCAAAGGAGAAACACCGTGTGGAACTCAATGAGGATTTAATGAGGTTATTTCATACTACTATAAAGTAACTTCTCTCAGTGTGAAGAATTTTTTAAATCAAGAATTCCTGAATTTTCCATGATTTTAAAAATTCTATTATTATATTTATTGTTTTTATCAATTAAGACAAAAATATTGAAAATATGAGTATTGGCATGTTACAGTTACCAAATAAGAGCTATTATTGTGTCTTGTAGTGCTAGGTGAGGAAACATGACAAAATAAGGAATTCTATTTCCATTACACTTATCTTTCCAATACACTCCTAATGGGACGAAAGAGATAACACCCACTCTGCTCCTCTTATTTGAAGACACTTTATTTAGATTGGTTTCAAAACTATTGACCTATTTTTGGCAATTTTTAGATTTATACTAAGGTTTTGATCATTAAAATAAAACTGATAAAAAGCTGGTTACAATGCTCAATAAAAGAAGATAAAGGTAAAAAAAGAATTATTTAACACTAGCATTATTTTCTAATAAAGATAAAGTCACCTAATCAAATAACTGTGCTTCTCTTTGTGTGAGTTAAAATAATGTTTTGTTTTAAATTAAAACCTGGAAATTCCATGTCTGCAAATTAAGCGGTAACATCAGTCTTTTTCTACACAATGATGTAGCATGTGTGTTTTATTTCATTCTGTATAGAGTAATGGAGTTTCTTCTGCTGTGGGGCTTGCAGAACCAGCCCACTACTTTATAGTTACATACATTATACTCTCATGGCTCCCAGGTAAATGCCTTACTGCAGAGTTCTGCCTCTGATCCTGCAGAATGATATAAGGAAATTGTATCAAATTATATGTTTTAAAACAATTTGGCCAACATTTGAAAAGTTATTCCAGATAATATTACTATATTTGAAATTGCTCTTATTTCCTTTGGTTAGTAGGTTAAAATCCCTGAGGACTTTTATTTATTTTTTAAGCAACAAATCTTTCTTTCCATAAATTGAACTAAAATGTTCTGCCATTATAAACTCTTGGACACAAGCTTTTTCTCATAGACGCTATTAAAATCTTCAATAACCAATTTACTACCAACAAAATTGGTTAGATTGGCTACACAGATGCAGAAGAGCTGACACCCATTTGACTCTTAAAGGAGTCTCTAATCTGCCTGAGGCAGGATTGCTACCTCGCAAGTCAACTCAGGGAACTACTGGACTGAAGAAGATGCTGCCTCTCTCTTGGAGGCAGTATTAGTCACAGCATAGTGACTAATGACACCCTGAAACCTGACCACTCCGTGAAACTGACATGCAAGCTGCTGCTAACACAGCTTACTTTTTTGAGAATTTCTCTGGATCTTGCCACCCACTCTATTTCTTCAACTTTCTCAGTGTCTTCATTGCCCTCCACCTGTTTAGATGCACAGGGCCTTCATCCACCCCCATCCATGCATGCACCGGCCCCCTCTAGCTTTCCCTCTACTGCCAAGGCTGAGTTCCCTTCCTGTCTGACATTATGAAGACATACATTATATGACAGTTTCTACTAACTCTGGAAAATGAGACAGGATATTGTTGCTGAGCACTCAAATTCCATGTACTACTTTCCACTTTGTATGGAAGATGTTTATGTACCTGTCATCTTTGTGGCTATTGAGTAGGATACCTGCCTCCTTTGATGTACTGTGAGCTGTTCATAGGCAGGGAACATATTTACTCTTCTTTGCATGTCTAAATCCCTGATATGCCTTCCATTATGTTTACTGAAATAATGAGCACCAAGGAAATACTATTCTCTCAATTCTCATTTCTATTCTGACAGTGACTTCCTTTTTTTTTTTTTTTACCTTTTTAGATCATGTAATCGCTATCTCATTTTATTTTGCTATAAAATGGAAAAACGTTACTCTTCCTTACAAAACACATATTTCTGTGTGTTTTATCAAAATCTTTTATAAGCACAACCAATAATTTCTGAGAATTAATGGATTAATGGTTAAAAATAAGAACCCCAGCCCAAGAGGTAGAGCTTGCAGTGAGCCGAGATTGCGCCACCGCACCCCAGCCTGGGCAACAGAGCAAGACTCCGTCTCAAAAAAATAAAAAATAAAAAAAAAGAACCCCAAATTACACACCTAATTCTAGTTCTAGTTCATTAATAGTGGCTGATACTTAATTCTTATAATCAGCTTCTCTAGTTAATTCTCTAATTAATTATAATAGCTTTGTTATTATATTATAAAGAAATGTTTCCAAAGTATATTGTTAACCATAATAAACTTTTTCTATTATTCTATTAATTTTGTTCTTTTACAAAATTTTATTTATAGGTAAAGGAAAAGTAGGCTTAAGCCTACCTTATCTAAACTTTCTGCAAATGCTGAACTGGCTAAGTCTGCAACAACTAGATCCTTCTAGATTGTTTATGTTACTATTACCAAAGTGAAGTTATATTGTCTTATAAGTTTATACAAATCAAAATTATTTTAAAACAATTTGACTAATATTTGACAAGTTATAACAGATAATATTACTATATTTCAAATGATTCTGATTTCCTTTGACTACTAGGTTAAAATCCATGAGGACTTTTACTCATTTTTTTAGGCCATACATTTTTCTTCCTATAAAGTGAACCAAATTTTTGGTCATTATAAACCACTGGACACTTGGACACAAGGATTTTCTCACTGATGCTATATAAAATCTTCAATAACCAATTTCTACCCACAATAAAGCAGGTAATATTGTCACCAAAACATTTATTCTTCTGTACTGGATACATCTACATGATTTTCATTTAGAATTCTGAAACCGTCCCTCAAATTTGACAGCATAACTCATGGGAACTTTATAATATGGCAGGGGAACACGAACTGACTTATTTTAACAGAAATGTCCAAATATATCTGCAGTATGTGTGTGAGGCATTTTAGAAGGCACCCTGTTGTGCTGTATAATATTGGTGGCACAGTGCCATGCTGTCATAGACTTAAAAGGTTTGAGAAATGCGGTTTCTATACGATATTATAAGACTCTCCAGAATTGCTTCAGAGGCTCTCAAACAATTTCAGAATTCCCTCTTTAACTTTTATTAAACTTAAAATAGTACAAACATCTCACTGACTCAAAATATGGTGAAAAATTGTGCATTTCTTAGAAAGCTACAGTCTCCTAAAAAAGTGGAATCTGAACTGCTTCTCCATTTTAGTGTTTATATGGTTTCAGAAATTGTCTCTTTTCATCTATTATTAACCAAAAGGTTTTGACCTTTCTTTACTTTTGTAACTTTTTCATAATCAACTGCCCTAAATCCTCAAGAACTTTGCTCTTACCTTCCATGACTTAGGGAAAGCTCTAACAACAAACAAACATATTAGCCTGTATAGAAATGGCTCCTTATTTATTTAAAAGCCCTACAAATTTGAATTTTCTTTCAGTCTTCTTTAAGCATTTGGTTTGCTCCATGGCAAAATTCAGATGATTAGCACTTCTCTATATATCTTAATGGCTTCTCTTTCACCCTTGTTTCTCTCTGATATGTTTCATCACTGAAAAAGTCACATAAGTCAACATTCAAACACCTGAACCGAAGATAACGTACAGAGTGGGTTCTTCAAAAAAAAAAAAATTCTTAAATCTTTAAAAAATTATTTTCACTTTTGTTTCTACATCTAATATCCTCATCACTTTTTCTTAAATGTTTAGTTTTGATATTTGATGACAAAATTAAGACACAAGCGCTGTTCTTTGTGTGACCTTGTGGGCAGAAGGGGCCAGTTCAGCCTGTGGATGATTGGCACTCCTTCACAGCAGGACTGTGGGCCTGGAGTCCAATGCCCAGCTTTCTTACTGATCCACCTCCCAGAATTGGCAGGGGAGAAAATCAGGATAGTGTGGAGCGTTTTCTGGGAAGCTGGGTTTTTTTTTCATTTGAAAAAGAGTTTTTTATTCTAAAATTATGTCTTTCCTACTTTTCTAGAATTCAAGTGTTTCCTTCATAAATTATGCAGATTGAGATGGTGGTTATAGGTTTTGTACATTTTCTTGTCATCCTGACTTGTTAAAATAAAGACTTGGCAAGTCCAGATGGGTGCCTCCATTTTTGTTGTTGCTGTTGATCCAAAGACCGTGGAGCACCTGAGTCCAAAATCACACTGAGATCTCACTCCAGTTCGGATATGCAGTCTTCCGATTTAAACAGGTTGTCTTATTCTCCCCATAAGAAGCTAGAGATATCATAAAAGAGATTCTTACTTCTGTGCTGTGAATGTCACAGCTAATAGGAACACAAACAACTGTCTTTCTCTCATTGAATTAATATTTACTGAGTACCTACTATGTACTAAGCATTGGGGGTATAAGTGGGGTGTTTTTTAATTTTTTAAATTTACTTTTTCACATCAAGTCCCAGGGAAGAGCTCATTGAGAAGTTACCATCTGAGTGCAACATGAAAGGGGTGAGGGGAACACCTGGTTTTCTGGGGAAAAGCATTCAAGATAGAGGAAAGAGCATGTGCAATGCCCTAAGGAGAGAATATACCTTCTCTGACTGATGAATGGCAATGAAACCAGTTTGACCAGAATAGAGTGAGCAAGGTGCCAAGGACAGGCGAAGGGTGTCCAAGAAGTAGAGAGAGAATGACATTGTAAGGACTCTTTCCTTTGCCCTGAGGGACATGGAAAGCTATTGGAGGATTTTGAGTAGAGGTGTACCAGGATATGACTTTAAATTAAACACGATTAGTGTGACTGCTATGATAAGGACAGGCTGAGAGGGATCTCGGGCCAAAACAAGAAGAGACCTTAAGAAACTACTGCAGTAACTGAGGTAAGAGATGATGGGACTTGTACTAGGACAACAGCAGCGAAGCTATTGAGAAGTTTCCATGTATATGTTGAAGGTAGAACCAAAGGGGTTTACTGACAAGATTAAATGGTACTTTCCTGGCACACGTTGATACTGAACCACTTTTCACATTGCTCAACCACCTAATACTTTGACTGTCAATTTGTTTAAGTAGATCACGAGATAATCATATCATGAGTCTCAGCCCACACACTCTTAATCTTTTTAAAAGGTGTGGCCGCCATTGATTTTAAAGGAGAAATGAAAGAGTGAAAGCAATACGATACAATAAAGATATCTCTTTCCCTGAAACACACAGGAAAGTGAAGTTTCAGGTCTGCTGAGGCTGAGATCAACCAATTGGTGAAGGACTCAAGAATTCTTACTGCATATCTGTTCCTGGAAGAATATGATGCTAAGAGAAAAAGAACCAAATTTTTGAATGACCTGTAAGTGCCCTGTTAAAGGATTCATTTTAATAGAAACTCAGAAACTTATTTTGCTCTTTTTTTCCTTTGCTCTATTCTGCAAATGGCTCAAATCCTCTTGAAGACTGTTGACTTCCTCTAACTTTTCTCTGTCCTGAATTCCCCAAGGACAAGGACAATGTCCTCAGAGCCGTGAAAGCAGTTTTGTTTTTGGGGTTTTTCATTTGTTTGTTTTTAAGATCCTCGCTCTTCCAAGCGCTCTGCCTTGGGCAAACCACTCTGGCTCATCCTTTGTGTTCACATCAGGAGTTTGATTAAATTGTCACTATGATTCCTCCCAGCTGAAAAATGCTTTGATTCAACATGGATTAGAATTGGCAGTGGAATTTGCTTGCCTAATAGGGTCACTTGATCTTCAAATCTACACTTTATGTTGTTTTATAAAGGATACTACTGGGTTTATTTAAAGTTTTAAATTGGTTTGAAACATATAATAGGCAATAAATAATAACATTCAATATATAACTTATTAGAGCCTATCTTTGAATACTCTCATATACCTAAAAATTAATTTGGCTCTTCAGGAATAAAATCCAATTGATACATTCTGTCAAACCAACTGTATCACCTGTTTCAGTCTTCCAAAACCAGGAAAGCCTTGATTGCTCTCCACGGGAATTTCAGTGCAATTCCAATAATCTTGGATTCAACATCTCACAAACACTGGAGATCTAGAATCCTTTGCTCTCAAACACTTGATTCCAGTTCCTGGCCCTCAGTTCTAGCTATCTCAGAGAATTTCTAGTAGTTTCATAGGTTTCTGAAATAAAATGGAAGTGCTGGGACGATCGTATGTGACTCCTCAGAAGCATAGATATTGACCTTTGGCCAGATAAGGATGAGAAAAATGATACAAGAGATTCAAGAACTGCCTGGATACTTAAGACCTCTTGATGGATAACATCTCTGGACTTTATGTGACCTCCTCCATTGGTCGCTTTTTTTCTGTCAATGCTTTTCGCCAGCTCTCAGTTACAAAAAGAAGAGGAATTTGAAGATTATGAACTGCTTGATGGCAGTGTCTTATTTATCTCTGTTTTCTAAGACATAGCCTGGTAACTGGCTCCTGCATCTTGGGTTACCTACATAGTCCTGGTTTGTACCTGATATCCTAGTGTAATCTTAACAGTGCCCAATGCCCCCTTTCACTCTTGAAATTGTCTTGGTAGCTATGATAAATTGTACAGTCACCCTACTTATAATAAGCAATCAAAGTTAAACATTGTTGAGCTAAAAATTTAATGAAATGGATATAACCTCCCCTTCCAATTTCTATAAAGTGACCAACCCAATATGAGTGAGTTTGTGATACAAGTCACCTTCAGACATACTTGAAAAGATTTCAGATTATTCTGTGGACAAATAGTCCATTATTAAATATGCCAAATGGTTTTCTTTTCTACTCCACTCTGACCTCACCATGTTTCAAGGACCTCTTCAAATGCAATATTGAGACATAGTAAATTATGAATTCTAGTGAGAGCTATATTTTACAGCTGTATATTCCAGACCCTAAATGCCCTTGCAGGGAATAAAATGAAAATTAATGAACTGAAGAGCAATTGTAAAACAGGACCTTTGCATTAAGAACAAACTATTCAGTAACAGCTTTTAATAAGGTAAATATCCAACCACAGCATAATGTAGTCTTTGTACATTTTTAGGACTTATGTCACTGGGAAAATATGTTAAGAATTATTTCTCCAAAGATCCTAAAAGTTTCAGGTAATGGTTCCTTTATCTAGAATTTTTTATTACCATCATTAGTGCTATCCAGACTTTATTACTGCTGCTGCTGCTACCATTACTGCTACTATTACTATTAGTACTACTACCACTACTGCTACTACTATTGCACACACACAAACACACTTACTATTCTGTGCATCTATATATAGAAACCTGTGTTTCTCTATGCAGGCTTCTGCGGTTTATAGAAGACAGTAAACAGGAGCAGTATGGCACAGCGGGAATGTAGGTGATTAAGTAAGACTGCCTAGGCATGTGTTCAGGCTCTGCTTAGTAGTTGTGTGACCTTGGTCAATGTTCTGGTAATCTATTGCTGTATAACAATTTACTTCCACATTTAGTGACTTTAAACAACGACCATCATTTTATTATTACCTCACATGGTTTTGCAGGTGAGTGGGCTTAGCTACTTGATTCTCACTCAGGTGTGTCTCATGAAATTTCAGCCAGATGGTCACTGGGGTTGACTGATGTCAAAGACTCTCTCATTCATGTGTCTGGTGGTTGGTCATGGCTGTCAGCTGGAACTTCATCTGGGGTTATCAGTTGTTAACACTTACATGTATTCTTTGCTGTGGCTGCTTGGGCTTCCTTACATCATGGTATGTGGTTCCAAAAGCAACCACCCCTAGGGGACCAGGAAGAATCTATTGGCCGTTATGATCTAGCCTTGGAAGTCACATAGCATCACTTCCTCAGCAGTCACTAGCCTGCCTGGAGACAAGGAGAGGGAACCTTGACCCCTGCAGTTCAGTGGGAGGAGCATCAATGTTACATGGTAAGAAGAGCATGTAGGAAGATAGATTTTGTTGTAACCATCTTAAAAAACACAATCTGCCCCTAGATTTGCTAATCCTGTTTCTTCATCTGAAAAAAGTATGGATAAAAATACCTATCCCAGGCCGGGCACGGTGGCTCACGCCTGTAAGTCCCAGCACTTTGGGAGACCGAGGCGGGTAGATCGCGAGGTCAGGAGATAGAGACCATCCTGGCTAATACGGTGAAATGCTGTCTCTACTAAAAATACAAAAAAATTAGCCAGGTGTGGTGGTGGGTGCCTGTAGTCCCAGCTAGTTGGGAGGCTGAGGCAGGAGCCTCAGGAATGACGTGAACCCGGGAGTCGGAGCTTGCAGTGAGCCTAGATCACGCCACTGCACTCCAGCCTGGGCGACAGAGAGAGACTCCGTCTCAAAACAAACAAACAAACAAACAAACAAAAACTATCCCATAGAGTTGTTTTGAGGAAATAAGAAGTGTGAAGCCCTTAACAGAGTACAGAGTAAACACTCAGTAAATGTTTACTATGGTTCATGTAGTTCCTTCTTAGAGAAACAAAGTGTTTTTATTTGTCAAAGCAAAGAAGAAAAATAACTGATCAATAAATATTTATGGTGTGCTTATCTATACAATTAATAATAAGAAAAATTTCCTGACCTAACAATATTTAAGTATTTTGGAAATCTGCATATACCATTTCTTGTGGTATATATAGTATTTCTGTGTCAATAATTCTAAAAATTAGAAAACTAGTATTTGGAATTTGGAAAGCAAATTCATTTTCAAATTGCTGATTATTTAAAATTTTATTGCATATAAATTGTTTTGACAACACCTGTAGTTAATTTGGAAGAAGTGAGGAGGAAGAGGTATTGATTAAAATGACTTCAGAAAATATTTACATACATATTCATTTCTTAACTCCTTGCAAAATGGATCTGAGGTGGCTTAATATACAATGAATGCATGTATACATAATATATTTTGTAATGAACATATATGTAATTACATATATGTAATTCACACACATATGACTATTACACACATAAATATGTACAAATTATTTTAAAAGAAATAGAAGCCAAAGCCATGAAAAACAAGGAAAAAACAACTTGCAAAAACAAGGGCTGATACAACAATGATAACTGAATATAATATTTGCTCTGAACTTCTTGGTAATCAGTGAGGAAAACAAAATTATTGATGTGTAATTCCTATTACCACAAAAAATATTTAGTATACCAACTCTCCAAGAAGGATCATCCTAATGATGGAATCATAAAGAAAAGTTAAATGTGAGACCTTTTTTGGAGAACATTGGTAAAAAATATTTTCTTTAAAGAGCTTTACAACCAACACAGAGACTGTCTAAATACTGTATCTTATTGCAAAGAGTCTCAATAAAAGTTGAAAGAGTAACATTACTGTATACCTTGTAACCCAATTCTGCAGGTGAGGATGAGCTGGTGCCATCCAATAACCCATTAGGGCAACGGTCCCCAATCTTTTTGGCACCGGGGACCGGTTTCCTGGAAGACAATTTTTCCAGGAAAATTGGGGGGATGAAACTGTTCCACCTCAGATCATCAGGATCTTAGATTCTCATGACGAGCACACAATCTTTTTGGCACCGGGGACCGGTTTCCTGGAAGACAATTTTTCCAGGAAAATTGGGGGGATGAAACTGTTCCACCTCAGATCATCAGGATCTTAGATTCTCATGACGAGCACACAACCTAGATCCCTTGTATGTGCAGTTCACAATAGGGTTCATGCTCCTATGAGCATCTAATGCCACTGCTGTCCTGACAGGAGGTGGAGCTCAGGCAGTAATGCTCCCTTGCCCACTGCTCACATCTTGCTGTGTAGCCAAGTTGCTAACAGGCCAGGGACCGGTAGGGGTCTGCAGATCACGGGTTGGGGACCTCTGCATTAGAGCACAAGCTATAGTGTAAAATATATCAGCAACTTAAGGGGAAACATATTCCATAAAAAACCTCTTTATCTCTAGCATTTGATACAAAGATAGCAGGTAATTCAAGAATACATTTAATGAGAATCTAAAATACTGCATTTTTTTTGTTACTCACTGAATCAACATCCATATGTTTTAAGAGCCAGATGGTGAAGTGGCAGGATAAGACATTTTATTTTGAATGCTGAAAAATTTACAGAAAAGGTAATCCTACCTCCCTATGGAAAGTTATTTTTAGACAAAGCTAGAACTTCCCCAAAAAGCAACTTTGGATCTGTCAGGTAGAACATTTATATAATTGCTTGATTGTGACCTTAAAGTTCCAAACCATAATGGAGAAATATTAGATTTGGAAAACTTTAATTACTGGTGTTGAAATTGACCCATTCAAACCACCGAAAATCCCTGTAGATGGCCCTATAGAATATTTGGTTCTGGACTTTGTAACTATCTGGTGAGCCTGCCAGAATAGGTGGCTGGAAAATATACTCCATGAGATTTAATTAGTAGACTTGCTGAGCAGAATTTTGTGGAATTAACCAATTTAATTTTGGATAATGTCTTCCAAAAATGATAATTTTGACATCTTTCATGTCAAGTAAGCCATTATTTGTGGCAGCAATTGGATGGCAAAAGCCTTTGCTTTTCAGGCCACGTCTAGTTGATTAAAATGGTTTCATTAGCATAATGGAGAACATTTGCTTATTATTTGTTAAAAAAATAGCCTTTGTCTAAATGTAAAAGAAGTCAAGATCACTAGGGTACAACTAAAATATGAGAAGGGACAGCAGGCAGCACTTTTTTGTACTCTTTGAAATTGTAAACTCTTGTGTTAGAGCTTTCTTAATATTAAAAAAATTAATTGAAAAAGATTGTAAATATTCAACATGTACAACGTGATGATTTAGAATAAATGTACCTTCCTAATTTTTGGCACAACATTAAAATATAGTTTATTTTAAAGTGGTCATTTTAGAAGATGTAAGGTTAGAACATACACTTTTTCTGTCCCCAGAGTGTAATGAAAGCATAGTGAAAGTTACAAACTGTCTCATGCAATTACTGGAATTTACATTAAAGTGGGAAAATAACCGGATGGGTAGAAAATTAATACCTATGCATTTCTTCTACCAAACATATACTGCTTTGAGCTCAAAGCTACATCAGTTAGTTGCTATCCTGGTGGGAAACTAATGGTGCACTCTAACTGGGTCATCAAAAAAGTGCTTAATAATGCAACTGCTTTTAAAAGGTGTGGGCAAGCTTTAGGGACACCAACAAGAAAAAAGATGGTGCCCCATCTCAGAGGTAGCAAGAGCAGGGAGTCTTCACCACCATAAGTCGGAACAGGCAAGGAAGGTGAAGATGTGGTTGTGTGGAGAGTGCAGCTGTATGGAGAATGCTGAATGGCAGAGACTAGGGCCTTTATTTAGGGATTCAGTCACCCCCACGTCGACCTGGCAGGAAAGGAATCATGTAAAGAATACCTGACTTCCTTGGGAGGCCAAGGCAGGTGGATCACCTGAGGTCAGGAGTTCGAGACCACCCTCAACATGGCGACAACCCGTCTCTACTAAAAATCCAAAAATATTAGCTGGGCATTGTGGCAGGTGCCTGTAATCTCAGAAACTCAGAAGGCTGAGATAGGAAAATCACTTGAACCTGGGAGTCGGAGGTTGCAGTGAGCCCAGATTGCGCCACTGCATTCCAGCCTAGGAGACAGAGTGCTAGACTCCATCTCAAAAAAAAGAAAAAACAAAAGAATACCTGAATTCCCTCTTCTCCCTTTGATATGTTGCACATGATTCCTTTTAATCAACTCAACTGGAAGCCAAAGCACACAGCTGCAGACCATACTGGTCAGCCTCTTCTAATACCAATACAGAGCAAGGTCAGGCAAAATAAAAAGTGGATGTGGATCTGGATGGACAGTATCCAGCTCAGTTCTGAAGGAGACACCTAGTGTAACCTCTGAGTGGCAATGACCAGCATAATAATAAATCTACAGATCTGGAATATATACAAGTTTGCCTTTTGTAAAATGAATAGCTAATTGAGGCATCAATTGGAGTGGTCAATTTGGCAATGACGCTGAACTACCTATTTAAACAGATTAGCAGCAGCAGCACAGCCAAAGTAGTTTTCACTGTCAGGTGATGGATCAAATGAGGCAGGACCAGTGCAGAAGCCTCAGATAAGGAGAGTGCTAAGCTCTATAAGCTTGGAAGCAGCTCTCCCAGGACTATTAAGCCAGTATAAATAGAATTTCATACAACAGTGGTTATCCTTTTCTTTCTGCAAGCTTAACTACCAAACATATAACATAGGCATTAATATCTCAAACTTTACAGTCATAATTAGCTCTAAAAAACAACCCTAGGATTCTTTACTGGAATTTGTTGTTCTCGGGTTTTTTAAGCCAAATTTATTAAAAGGATTTGAACTAACAAATTACTTAATGTATTTTCTGTGTTCTGTCACACTGCAACTAAACTTGCCAGTTTTAGAGGTATGATACCAGTGTTTGCCCAAATATGTATAACAATTTAATTCACCAGCACAATTCATTTGATTGTGCCTATCAGTTTCATGAAAGTAAACTTCGAAAACCTTAATGAGTTTCTACCAAAATGTCGGTGGCACACGGTACCATTGTGAAAAAAAAGCAAAGCAAAACTGACTAATTGCCACATTGTAAATATTTGATGAAAAATAAATAACTTGATCTGACTTCTCCTCTTGATAATACAAACTTGGTTCCAATTTGTTACAGTTATATAAGTTATTGTAGACTTTTTTTGCATTCATTATAATTCTCAGGCAAATTTATTCTAATTAAAATATAAGTACTTTTTGGCTTTACCATCTTAATACCTATTCAGAAAACTTGCCTACATTTATCCCTGCATCAATAAAAGTTATTCTATACCATAATTCAAACTTAATTTGTGAAATAGTCCTATGGGGTTTTGTGACTGTTTCTAGAAGGGAAGAACTTGGGCAAGCATATAGATAGATCTAAGTAGTAACTCAAAAGCTTTTTGACTAAAGTCAACCTAATTCTACGGTTTAATGTTTGATGTCCTTACAGAGAGAAGGCAGTTGATAGTGTGTCCTGAGCAGTGCCGGGACAACATCATTAACCAAACTGGACCACAGGGCAGCACTCACAGGGTATTCTGAAGAAAGAAACTGTGTTCATTATTGTAATCTTTGCAATGGTTCTAATGTTTGGGCTAGAGCTACCAGAGACATTTGGGGAGGGGAGAATTGGGAGAAGGGGGCTTTACGTCCCTGTGAACTTAGAGTGAAAGCAGCAAGCATACGCTCAATGTAAAGAGCAGAAGCCACCACACTTCTTGGAAATATCATTGTATCCAGCAGTGCTTCGTGGTCAGGGATATGTCTAGGTCAAAAATGAATCCTTAATAGGGGAATAAAATTAACCCAAACTGAATGGAATTAAGTTTGCATTGTATTATAGACCATATCATGAGGAGAATAAAAAGCAGACTGTAATATCAGACAGAATGAGGCTTTACCAATTAATAGCTACATGCTCTTGGCCAAGAACTTAACTTCTGTATCATCAGTTTCCTTTATATAAAATGAAGATAATAAAACTAACACCATGCCAATAAAGCACTTAATACAATATTAAAGGTCATGGATTTGTCAGGCCTTCAATAATTGTTATTACTATTACCTTTATTATTATTAGGCTTGATCAAATGGGAAGGGATATAGAAAAAGGGCAGAATTTTTACCCTTGTCATTTAATTCAACCTAATTCCCTCTTGTTGAGCTTATTCTTTCCTTTGTGTGAAAAAAATAGGGAAATCAAAATGAATAAAAGCTAGTCTCATACTTAAAGGGAAGTAGACAGGTAAACTAGCAATTACAGTTATAATTTCACATCCCTGAGGTTAGTGACAGGCACGCTGTATACTTAATACTTTCCAAAGTAGCACATAGGACTTATTTAATAAATGATTTAATTAATTCAGAGTAGCATGAGCTGTAATTACTGTACAAACAGCTAGGGAAATGTAAAGAAAAAAGACAACAACCCCACATGGATGAGGCCAGAGAAGGCTTCTGAAATGGTCTGAAGCTGAAGCTGAGACTTAAAGAAAGATTAGAAGTTGCCAGTGAGTGTAGGGCATACAGACTCTCTTAGCGCAGGGAATAGCCATTGCATTCCGTTAAAGGCAAGAGAGAATCTGGTTTATTCAGAGAACCACCAATCTTCAGTATGAGTTGAGTGGCGCATACCTAAGAGACACAGTGAAAGATTGGTTTGGGAAGATAAACATCCATCCCTCCTGTCACCACTCCTGGTCATTTCTATTCCTCCTTTCCCTTATTTTCCTTCATAGTACTTACTACCTCTTGTCCTTCTATTATAAATGTATTTGTGTATTACTTCTTGTCTGCCTCAGCCACTGGAATGTAAGCTTCATGAAGAAAAGCACATCCTACTGTTCCATTTCTATATCGGCAGCCTCTGGATCAGTGGCCTGAAATGTAGGAAATGCTCAACAAATATTCATTGAGTGAAAAGTGAAAGAAGAAATAAATAGAGAACTGCTCATGAAATGTCTTAAATGTAATATTTAGGAAGAAATGTCAGGATTGGTGTGGGATGAGGGTGAAGCTGAGTAATGAGTCTGAGAGAATCTCTTAGGTTTCTGACTAAAGTGATAAGTAAATGACTAATGACCAAATACGGAATTTAAGAAAAAGAGCTAGGTTTTTGTTTTTCGTTTGGAGGGAGTGTGGGATGTTGAGTTATACATTATGACTTTCCCAGAGTTGTAGGGATGAATTTCTTTACCTATGAAGAATCCGCAATCTACTTCCCTCAAATGAACAGCAGCCTTATAAGTTACTCCACAGTGGAATGAAGCTGATTTTTATTTACAGCTATAGAAAAGATTATCATGACTAATAAAATCCTACATTAATCTTCTTCATTACATAGAAAGTCAAAGGTGGAAGATTAAGAAATTTAAATAACCTGCCTCAGAACCACAGAGTTGAAATGAGAAACAGAACGTTTGCCGTTAAAAGTAACAGAGGCTACCACTGATCCCATCATTTGTCACCTAGCATGCTGTTCAATAAATCACTCTGTATTTAGATAATCACCTCAGTGTCATTTCTCCACTAAAGAAATTTAATAGTGAGCAATCAAATGTATTCACTCTCAGTCCCTGACATGAGTTTACAATTACTTCCTAGAACTGAGCTAGTCTCAGTAGGATATAAAAATTAGGCGAATCATATGGTGAATACTTACTTCATCCTGTGTTTTTTCCTGCTAGGAACAGAAATTGTCTCCATAATTGTATGCAAATCCTTTCACCAGAATCATCACAAGAAAATTATGTACTGCTACTCCTGCTCTAAAGAAAAGACGAAAGTAACAGTTTAAAATATCACTTTCAAATCAACCAAAATGAATGGTTTTGGCTTTGTGTATAAAAGCCAGATCCAAATTAATATTATTTACAGTACACAGCTTGGCATGTGAATATAACAAGCTGATACTTAATATGTTGTGTAACACTTCTTTGAGTTTCGTTGCTAGTGATTGCTTTTATGATTAATTAATGAGATCTGTTGGACTCAAACTTCAACATACGGTAGAATAAATTAATTGCTCTTTTAAGAACCAGAATTCTTTGGACAGCACTGGCTATCTTGCACCCTCAATTAATGAGTCAGTTTTGCAGGTTAGCTCAGGATTTGTTTTTATGAACCAAAAATATTTCTGTTTTTATCATTTAGAATGGAGTCCTTTCTGAAATGAATTTCACACTTACTTCAATCCTAAGTTTCTGAAGCTTATTTTAGCTCTTATTAATGACTCAGGATGGTTGCTATAAATAAAGATTATGAAAATTGGAGATTACTATTAAAGGCTACCTTAGGATATCTCTAAAGGTATTCCTGCTGAGATATGTGGGACTCTGGGCTTCTACAACTCATGACCTCTCTCTGCCATTTGTAGAGTTGTAGAGTTTTTGCATTTACTTGCCACATTCTTTCAGGACCAAAATGTACAAAGTATAAATTAAGTAGTTTTCAGCTCATTCCGATGTCAGTAATATTACTTATTATTCATTCAGAAGCTATCTCTGGGATGAACAATAAGACATTGCTGATATTTGACTATTTTTGATCAGCAGAAATGAAAATGTCATATGGCTCCACCTGATACAATGAAATATCTCCTGGCTCTTATACAGATAAGTACAGGATTGGTGGGGTGGGGGGAGTGTAGAATTTAGAGAAAAGCAAACAATCAACACTCTCCTTTCTTTCCACTTTTTCTGGAGTTGGTCTAAGTGACAGGAGATTTGGCATTATGCCTGTATTAATTTCAGTAGTCTCCTATTTGGATTCCCTGTCCTCCTTCTCTTTCCACTCTTCGGATGCATCATTTCCACTATATCAAACTAGCATTATAAAAGCAGTTTTATAAATCTGTCTCTTCTCTGCTCCAAAGCTTCGAAGGTTTCTACTGTTTCAGTATTGTTTCACAATGATCAGTGGAGTAATTTCTAAACTTTCAGTATTTAATTATCCAAAACTATTTATCGAGTCCCTTTTAGATGCCAAGTCTTCTTCTAGGCACAGTGAACAAAACAAGCCTCCTGACTTCATGAGCTTACCTTTTAGTATGGGAAAGAGACAATAAACAAGGTGAGTGAGTAAAATCTAGAGTATATTAGGTGGTGGTGAAGTGTTGGGGAGAAAGTAAAGCAGAGAAGAGGAATAGAAAAGCACAGGATGAAGGAGCTGAAATTTTAGATAAAGTAACCCAGAACGGCCTCACTGAAGAGAGGGCATTTGGGTAGAAACCTAAGAACATAAAGGCAAAACCCTGAAGACCCATCTTGGGGAAAGCACAGCAGGGTGAAGCCTGAGCCAGAGCACCCCTGGCAAAGCAGCCAGATGTCTGGTGATGTTTGAGAGCAAGAGAGCAGTGGATGACGTCAGTATAAAGGAGCAATTGGAGAGTTTGGACCTGTAAGTGGTATGATCTGGCTTGCCTGAAAAGTTCCATTCCTGAAGCTATGCTATGAGTAGTGCAAAGCGGGCAAAGGTGGAGGAAATAAAAGACATGTAAAGAGGCATTTGCAAACAAGAGGCTTGGGCCTGGGTGGAGGCAGTGTCGGTAGGAAGAAATGGCCAGGTTTTTGATATATTTTGAAGGTAGCCTTGACAGAATATGCTAAAATACGAGATGTGATTGTGAGAGAAAGAATGGAATTAATGGTGACTGTGATTGAAAGGCCTTCACATCACAGCCTCATCCTTCCTTGCTAATTTCATCGCTCTCTCTGCATGCTGAAGTGTGGTGAAAAGTCCCTAAGCTGGAGAATGGAAGACTTGAGTTCATTCACATTTCTGCCACTTAGTGGGGTTATGCTTTGATGTAAGTCACATAAATTGTTTTTATTTCTTCACCTTTATGGTGGGGATAATATCTACTTCACAGGGCTGTTATGAGGTTCAACTGTATTGTGAAATACTAATAAAGCATAATGTAGTTTATGAATACATTACTCCAGCAGCCTGCTCTATTAACTATCAATGATTAATAATTTATTAAGCATTCTCCAAGCTCCTGCCTCTGTGCCTTTGCTTTATGATGCAGCAGCTCCTTCCTCCTCACCATCTTTATTCATCAACCCTTTCCATCCTTTAGGGACCATACTACAGTCCAAGTCATTCTCTCCATGGTGAAACCCCCTTTGAAAGGGTCTAATCTTTTGCTTAACACTGCTTTCCCAAGGTATCGCAATATTGAATAGGTTTGACACTCAAAATTATGTCTTACATACCTTACATGCTTAATATTAGACAAAGACCTTGTTTGAGTGCCTGTTAACTCACAAACATATATTTTAATTCCCTTATAAAAATACAATGGTTGTTTTTACACACATTGGAACTGTGAGCTTTATATAATGTGATATAAAAAAGTATCAAATCAGAATTATAAATTTTATATAGTGTGATATATAAAATATATAGTAAAACAGATAAAAGAAAAAGTTGTACTTTATGAGCAAAATAATAGCTATATAGTAATTATGCTAGATATTTATTCTGATTGGAAATTAGTCTTTTGCTATTTGAGTTTAAAATTATTCAAATTTTTCAAAAATGCTTTACTTAAAATAGAAACACATTGCCTTTATTGTAAAAAGATGTTTGTGGAGGCCCACAGTGCTAAGAAGATAAATAATGATGGAGGCAAACTTGAAAAGAGATCAGTGTATTCATAGGGAATATTCAAAATCTACAGATTGTTTCTAGAATCATTGATGTCTATAACCAGAGAGAAAAATGGGTTTCTCAGACCTCTGTCATAATTTATTATACTACTTTGGGTGATGAAGGAGGTGGCTGCAAGGATAGTTTTCATCAGAAGTCAACTGACACCTGAAATCCAAATGGAAAAATATGTGCTTCTGAAGGTCAAAAAAACCCTAAGAGTTCAATCTGAAAATAGAAGTAGAATGACCACCAGTAGAATAGATAGTAGTCTGACTCAAATCATCTCTCTATGATTTATGTGTCATTAATCACTAAGCTGATTTATTCTGTATCCTTAATCTAGAAACTATTCTCCTTCCTCTGCATGGTCCTAAATCTGGCCCCCATTACTTCTCACCTGGATTACTACCATGTGGGTTCCTAAGTGATTTTCCCATTTCTGTGTTTCCCACATCCATTGTATTTTCCACACTTCAGCTGTAATCATCCCTCTAAGACACATTGTTTTGTCACTCTTTTCTGAGAGTCTATGAAGTAAAACCTAAATTTCTTTAAATGATAGAGAAAGCTCTTGTAATATATCCCTTGCCTGTTCACCTCTCCAGTCTTAGAAGCTCTTTCCACAGCCCATGCCAATTCTCCACATATCCCTTCTTGTCCTTCCAAACATACAAAATAAACTGAAGTTTTTGAAGCTTCTGAATGTGACCTGCTATGCAAGATAAAAAGTATATTCATACAGTCTTTTAAGGAGAGTTTCCTGAAGCCTCCACACAACCGTTCCACTTATAACCCATTGCCCACAACTTAGTCACAGAGCCATATATCTAGCTGAAAGAGAAGCAAGGAAATATATTTATTCTGACTGTCCATAGGTCCAAGTTAAAATCCCACTGCTTTGGATGAAGGGGTGAAGTAGTAGTAGAGAACCACCAACTTACAGACTCTACGACAGTGCTTTAACTTTAAAGATTTAAAGTATCAAATTTTCTTATAAGATGTCATCTGAACTAAATATGAATACTAGGGAATCAGAAGACAGTAAATGTTAGTGTCAGAAAATGCCTTAGGAAAAATCTAGGACCCAGAATAACCACCTTTAACAATGATTATTATCAATCCATCTTTGAAGATGAATTCTCTACTTTTACTCTTGAGTGTTTGTAGAAAAGGGAAAACTCAAGACATTCCATCTTATCTTGGGTTTACGTGAATAGCTTCAGGCTGTAAAAGTAGGAAAATCTTTGCTTATTTTTAGTATGCCCTTTTTGAACTACGGCATAAATAAATACTATAGTTACAGCTGCAGGTAATTTTACCCAAGCTACAATGTTGGTTATTCCTCCATGTACTGAAACCTGGGAGTCCAGACTGTGGCCTTTGAACATGTTATTTCAGTACTAAGCTGCTTTGGAAAGAGTCCAACCTAAATGGTTATTAAATCTACTCTACAGTTCCAGCATGGTGGCATTAAATGCAGTGAGGATTACAGAATCTTATTCCTTTCTTGACTCAAATCAATAAGTGGCGTTAGACACACACAGACACACACACCTTTCTCCTTGAATCCACCAGTTTTGGATACTGACAAATTGTGCCAGACCAGAGATATTGATGATGTAGCAGCAAGAACCTCCATAGCAATTTACAAGATTTATGAGGGAGGCTTTAATTTAACTAACTACAAGCTGCTGCTATGCCCCTTGCCATGTTCCCTTTTCAGGCTCAGCAACCCCCCATGGGACAGACCTAGTCTTCTCCTTCCCAAACCAGTTCCCATAATCTAGATGTTTCTCTATCCCATATTCATCAAACTGGCATACCCTTCATCTTATTACTTCATTATTCTGATGATATTCCCTGATTATTTCCACATTCTCACCTCTTCCCATTTTCTCCTCAATTTCTCAATCTGAAAAATGTCTTCTATATCCAGCATTCCATTAACCCTGCTCATGCTAAGTGCACCAATGACCTTCTCATTGAAAAGCAGAATGGACACTTTCTAGTTCTCATCCAAGTAAAGCTTTTTCAGGGCATATGGATAACTCTTTCTTTTCTAAATACTTTCTTCCCTGGCACAAATGTATTCTGCTTCTCTTTCTGCTGCTCTGTGTGCTGACAGTTAAATAACTCTTGCAAACAAAAACATCAAATAAATAAGCCCAGCTATTGTTGTGAGTAGCAACATCTCTGAATTGGTACTCATGCAAAATAGGTCATTATCCATGGATGATGTAATAAGTGTTGACATGTAAGGGTGCAGTAGCTCAGGACTGCTTACCTCATTTTGATTCTATTTAACATAATTGATAAAATCTTTATGTGATATCATAACACTTAAAAATATTTTATATGTAATTGACAGTGTTCTTTAGTAACTATGAAAAAGCCCTTAATTACTATTATAATCTAATAAAGTGATTATGTCGATGATATGCTCTGCTATTCTAAAAAATTATTTTCATTACTTTGAATTTATTTATATAATGCTGTGTATTTTGCATAATGGATAGTTTACCTATCGGTTTTCCTAGATAGTAAATTCTTTGTAAAGACAAGAATCACATCTTTATCTTTTGTTTCACCTTTGTATTTCACATTACCTATCTTTTTAAAAATGTTCTTATAGGTACATAGTAGCTGTGTATATTTATGGGGTGCATGAAATATTTTGATACAGGCATACAGTGCATAATGATCACATCAGAGTAACTTAGTATCCATCTCCTCAAGCATTTATTCTTTCTTTATGTTATAAACATTCTAGTTATACTCTTACAGTTATTTTAAAATGTACAATAAATTATTGTTGACTTTAGTCACCCTGTTGTGCTATCAAAGACTATATCTTATTTATCTTATCTAACTATATTTTTGTACCTATTAACCATCCCCATTTCCCTCCTCCCTCACTATCCTTCCCAGCCTCTGGTAACCATCATTCTACTATCTCCAATAAGTTCAGTTGTTTTAACTTTTAGCTCCTATAAATGAGTGAGAACATGGGAAACTTGTCTTTCTGTGCCTGGCTTATTTCAGTTAACAAAATGTCATCCAGTTCCCACATCTTTATCTTGATATAATTTATAGAATTCTGTATGTAGTAGGTTTTCAGTAAATTATATAGAATTAAAATGTTAGACAGCTTTTTAGAGTAGAAGCAAGATTTAAAATATCCTTTACAGTAGTGAATTTCCTGTTAACTACATGATATTCATCTAAAACTGCAGTATTCATTCTTTGGCCAACAATATTATACTACAAATTTTCTAATACCTAGGAGATGCAAATCATAGCCAGATGTGGAAATAGTATGACTTGACTTATGATTATCTAGTTTATATAACAACTAAGTTACATAATCATAGATTCAACAGCAGTATTTTATCCTAGTTACAATATATTTCCAGCTATGTTAGCAAATAAATAAGACACTCACATCTGAATATCAATGAATAATAAGAGAGCATATTAGAATCAAACATAGCTTATAAAAGAGTATGATTTTAGCCAAGCTCTGAAACTATTACTGCATGTCCTTTGCACTGCAATGAAAGGATGCCATTTATTTCTGACTATGATTAATGGGGCTTTTTAAGTAACCAACTTTCTTTGCCATTCAACAAAGATTGTGTCCTAGGGTTCTGTCTGATTCCAATTCTAGTGTCATTTGTAAATCTAAAAAATCAGATAATGGAAGGCTGGATTTGAATTATAATTTTGTTTTTAGAGTTAGTCCTTCAATTTGTAAGGTAAGTGGGCATATCTATAAATTTCATCAGAAGGTGTGTGGCTCCACATTCTGTAAAAGTCATGTCAGCAGGAGAATAACAACATGGATGCCTAGTCCTGACATGAAGCCTGACAGCCAGAAATGCAGCAATATTTAGAGTATCGTGCCAAGCTGTGAATTAAGCCCAGGGAGAAGACTATTTCTATGTGTGGGGGCCGTTTTTATTATTTTTGCAACACTCAAGCAAACAAAAAAAATCTTAGCATTATTCTGGTATGATGATAAATAAAAGGAGAAAAAAGAAAAGTAATACGTCAATTGGTATTTTTAAAAGCATTCATTTTAAGTCGAAGAACATGTTCATAGGTGTCAAAAAAAGATTTAAAAGAACATTGCCTCAGTTACCATCAGAGCATAAGCCCCTGCAACAGAATAAATGAGGCATGAACATATATATTAAGGAAGGTTTCATGTCATCACGTTACATATGTGTCGAATGGGAAACAAGAGAAAGAATGCTGGGGTTTTGGGGCGGAGGATCTAGGTAAGATTTGAAAAGATAATTACTGGCACGCATTACAAAAGGAAAGACTAAATGGAGCAATAGATATACCAGAATAATTATATAGTAATTAACATGCCCTCTTTCTTCCTCTTCGGGGAATTTTTTTTCATTTAGATAAAAATGAATCCTGACTGCCACAGTATTTCATTTGGCAGGATATCAGATAATTTATATTTCAAATATGATCTCATCATCAGTTCCATCTGTTGATCTTAACTGAGCATCAGTAATGTTTGGAACTCTGACATGTAGAAAACATACCTGAAAAAATTCAAAATCTCTGAATCTATGAGACTCACATACCAATTAGAAAACTCAACAAATATGCCCTAATCTTCCAAGTGCGGTATACTCGTTTTAAATCTTCACTTTTAATCCACCCAGCTCTCTACCCAATTCCAGTATCACAGGAAGAAGAAACTACAGACAGTTGCTATAGAATGAGCTCAAATAAGTGTTAGACTTTGTTAAAGAGGACTAGAATATTCTGTTTATGCTAAACCATAAAGTGAAAATATAACTGACTAACAGGCTCTGATCCTAACCAATCTTAGTGTATGGGATATTTATAAATTCAAAGAATCTTTTTTTTATTCTTCTCTCACATTACAATTCAAAAATGAGAGATGGGGCTGGGTGCTGTGACTCACGCCTATAATCCCAGCACTTTGGGAGGCTGAGGCAGGTGGATCACAAGGTCAGGAGTTCAAGACCAGCCTGGCCAATATGGTAAAACCCTGGCTCTACTAAAAATACAAAAATCAGCCAGGTATGGTGGCACGCACCTGTAGTCCCAGCTACTTGGGAGGCTGAGGCAGAAGAATTGCTTGAACCCAGGAGGTGGAGGTTACAGTGAGCCAAGATTGTGCCACTGCACTCCAGCCTGGGCAACAGAGCAAGACTGTCTGAAAAAAAAAAAAAAAAAAAAAGAGAGATGGAAAAAAGGCAGGACAATCAAGACAATATTGGCCTGAAGATATATTGCATTTCCTGAAGAAATGCAGGAATTATGAGTTTACAGCTTCTGCCTTAACCCAGGTGCTTGGACCAGGTGCCTTCCCTTCCACATGCAGAGAGAACTAGATCAAGAACAGGGTGAAGACCATTCATTTTATTCTCTCATGGCAGGCTGTCTTCACGTAATAAACACCCCCACCTGCATCAGTCTTGCACGCTCCTTCTCAACCTTCAAGACCCAATTCAAGTTGTTTCTCCTCTGTGGTATTTTTCCTTGTTCCATCCAGACAGCTCTAACCAAGCTTTCCCTTGGGCCAAGCCTTTACCTTGAGTCCGGCTACACACTTTTTAAAACTAAGTTTCTGTTGTTTATTTGGTCATCAGTCTCTTACTGATTAGGAGTACCAGTGCCTCACCTAGTGGTTATTCAACTGATCCCCAGTCTATATCATTCACCTGCTGAGAGAGGAAGAGTTAAATAATGCCTCTCTAATATGCACCTGTCCTCATCAACAAATAAAGCACCGAGAATAATGAGTCCTCAATAAATACTGTTGTACTGTTTCTTTTACATCTTCTCTTCCATAGTTGAACCAAAAATGTTGTACTACCTTGTTCAAGGGGAAAGTCAAACAGTTGTTCAAAATGAGTTCCATCTAGTGAGTAAAATAACAAAAAGGGTTTATGAAATTGCTATTGACTACAGATGGTGGTGGATTTGGTTTGGGGTTTGTCTCATCAAAAAAATGTCTACAGCAATGCAATGTTCTCCAGTAAAGAGATTTTGAGAGCACAAGGTATGGTGTTGCTACTTCATTCAATCAACATTTTAAGAGATTTTGTTGCCATGACTAAAGAAAGTAAGAATAAATTATTCAGAAATAACCACACAGACTTTAAGTTTCTAAGCATTCAGTATATTTTGGAACATAACAGTGTTGATATAGGCTCAGTACCTGCATACATCATTAAAGGGGAGTAAAAGCATGTTTTTAGTAACTTTTTTTTTCCCCAATAGGATACTCGATACTCCAAGCTATTATGGAAAAAGCAGGACAAAATGGTTGGCATGTCAGCGCTATATGTGTGGAAAATTTTAATGATGTCAGCTATAGGCAACTTCTAGAAGAACTTGACAGAAGACAAGAGAAGAAGTTTGTAATAGACTGTGAGATAGAGAGACTTCAAAACATATTAGAACAGGTAAGTCCTAGATTTTATATTTTTAACCTAGACCCTATACAGAAAAATTTAACCTTTGATTGACTTGTCCCCATCAACATCTTCTCCCAGCTTTTAATTTGGAGTGTGAGGTTTGAGAGTTTTCATTCCATGACTATCTTCAGGACCAAATCACAATCTTTTATCACCAAGGACCTTTTTGGTTCTTAAGTCTCAATGTATTTAGAAAGCTATTTCTCACATATTCTTAAGACTTGAATGAGTGAAAGACTCTGTGTGAATCTTGAAGAGCTCTTGGCCTCCAGTTTTCGAAAATATTAATGTTGAAGATTAATCCCATCTAAAAATAGTACAAAAATTCTAAATTTGTGGGTGCACCATTTTTAGAGGCACACTTACTTTAGAGAAGTGCTACATGAGAAACAGCAACATAAATTACTAAAGCAATAAAATAAAAGAAAAGTCAGTGGAATACTGTATATAATTTAGTGGAATACTGTATATAGCATGTTTTCTGCTAGGTATTATAAGTCAATACATTACTACCCCAGTGGAGATGGTTTTCAACTCTCCTCAAAATGGAAAAGTCCTTGAATAAATGTTTCAATAAATATTTGTTGATTTGATTTGAAGCAGCCAGGAAAAGATTAAACTGAGCTTTGCCGTTGTATTAAATGATAGGAAAATATCATCAAATAATGGATAACATCTGCCTTTCCCTACCCCTGCAGATCATGATAAAGCTTTAAAGGCTCTTTGGCCAAAATTGCAGTGAGTGAATGCCATCTAGTGGTTTTAGAAATGCTTGCTCATATTATCTACAATACGTTAGTTCAGCCAGACATGGGTAATATAATTTTTTGTTGGTTAGTTTTTTACATATAGCTTAACTGCATAATTATATGACTTGATTTCCATTAGTAAACTTGCCAATTTGGAGGTTTATTTATAGGAATAACTTTAGTATTCAATTGTAAGAATGAAAACCAAAATATATTTCAGAGATTCAGCTTTACTATTTGCAGGCAAGGGACTAGATGTCTTCAGTTTCCTTCCTCAACTATATTAGCATTTGTAAAAGTGAAAAGTAAAAGAAAACAAACAAACAAAAATGTTGTATTGCTAAAGTCTAAAGAAGCCAGACCATAAGAGGAAATAACAGAGTATTTACTTCCTGTCGTCCCTTTGTAGAAGAAAAAGCTAAATATATATATATATATACTGAAGAAATATATATGTTATTTTGGGAAATATTAATTAAAAGCCTATACATTACTCGGGCTTATTCCTAAGAGAGTCCAAAAAATTTTTGAAGTTGTAGCTATTCAATGTATATGAAATTTTTAAATGGTTAGTTACAGAATCCAAGAAAAATCTTTCTTCTTTCTTAAGCAATACAGCCACTTTACCTCCGACTCCCATTTCCCTCCCTCCCACTCCTGCCCCTGTATTGAGAGTTTGAGTTGTTTGACCTGAACAACTGAAGCTTTGTAAATAACTCACGATGAATCCCACAGAGCAGCCAATTCTAAGAACTGCCTGGATTGCCAAGTTCCTGTCAGAGGGTGAGTAAGGCTCAGAAAGACCCTCCACTTAGCACCTGTGCTTAAAAGACCAAGTCTGGAGGAGGCAATTGAGTGCCTAAAGCACACTGACCCATTTCAGAGGCTTAGCTGGTTTCTAAGAAGAAAATTGGCACACCTGGGTGCTTTGGATAAACTCTGAATAAGCCGTAAATGAGCTCCTGCTAAAGAAACTGGACATCTTATATATTTTTTGTCATATTAAAGAAATTAGAAAACTTGAGTGTCTACCTTTTCTATTCTTCTTGCCAAATTCTAAAAGGTTTCTTTTCTATCATGGTTGCATGGTAATAATAATAATAATAGTAAGAGAACTTTGTCCATTTAAAATGCCTCTCAGGTATAAATCTCATAAATTGCAATAAAGTCTACTGCATTGTGAGAAAATAATGTACTCTTAATTGTCCTATAAAATTTTCCTCCAAGAAAAGCTGTGTTTTTATTCTGAACATGCTGTTGTTGTTGTTTACTATCTGTATTTTAATTCCTTGTAGCTCTAAATGAAACAACTTTCAATGTTTTCTTGGTTTTACTCTTGGCTCTTCCACAAGAGCTAATCCATACTTTGTCAGGGGTTTGTACGTGTATCTTAAGACCCCTGTGTTTCAACATCCTTTTTCATAAATTAAGATAGCAAAAGAAAACAATTTCAAAAAACCAACCAAAGCATTTTTAAAAGGTAAAAAGTTAAATGCTAAATAATCTTGATTAGAAAAATGCCTTTGAAAAGGTGGACTTTTCTCAGAAGATGGTGAAATTAATACAATGATGATAAAGTTCTAGAAGGATGGACACACTTCATATTAGTAAATTTCTATGGCCGGGCATGGTGGCTCACGCCTGTAATCCCAGCACTTTGGGAGGCCGAGGCAGGTGGATCACCTGAGGTCGGGAGTTCGAGACCAGCCTGACAAACATGGAGAATCCCTGTCTCTACTAAAAATAAAAAATTAGCCGGGTGTGGTGGCACATGCCTGTAATCCCAGCTACTCGGGAGGCTGAGGCAGGAGAATCACTTAAACCCAGGAGGTGGAGGTTGTGGTGAGCCGAGATCGTGCCATTACACTCCAGCCTGGGCAACAACAGTGAAACTCCATCTCAAAAAAAAAAATTTCTAGAAGGATGGGCACATTTCATATTATGGTAGCATGCCATCAATAATTACTTCATTGACATCTTAATTTGTATCAATTTGCAAAAACATAATAGAAATAGTTCAGACAATATTCTCTCAAAATATGTTAATGGAAAACTGTGGTTATAGAAGCATTTCATCTTCTATACATGTTTTCCAAATTATTTTATGACATGAACTAATTCGTTCTTATAAATGTATTGCTATTTAATATAGTAGCTAGACATATACTCATTCAAGCATTTCAAAATATGAGTTTAAGATCAAGTATTTGAAAATATGGTTTAATGTACACCATAAGAAAAAATGGAAGAATGTATGTAAATATCACCCACTGAGTCATTTAAGAGAGTAGAAACATATTGAAACCACAAAGTTAGATTTATTTTGTTCATATCAACACCAATCAAACAAATTGGAATTTTGGCTCTCTAAATCCAATGAGCAATTTGGTCCACTCATTTGCAGAAACAAGCCTTGAAAAGAAATCTAAAATGAGAAGTATTTTTAAGTGTTTGCTGAATTTGTGATGAATTTTTTATAGAATATTTTTACTTAAATTGCTATGAGTTTGAAAGATATTATAAATATCATTGTGGACCCTAGCTTTATTCCTTTCACCTAATTTTCTTCCTATAACAAAAATATCAATTATTTTGTAGAACAGCTTGCAATAGCTTCATGTAGCTGGAATCAAAAGAACCGTTTCATATCAAAATAAGAGATTTATAGTGGGAGTCTTTTATTTATGATTTTTACATGTATCTATTAATTTTAAATTCTGAACTCTATTACTTGCAAAGAGTCCCTATGGATTCTACCTAATAACGTTATCAATTGAACATTGAAGTGTCAGACTTTGGTTCACATGTTTAACCTAGTAGCAAAAAAGCAACAACAAATCTTATCTTAACTCTTTTTCTGGTAGCCAAAGTAATTGAGCAAAATGGCACTTAAGGCTAGTGGTTGCTCACACATTTTACTCCACTGTGATAAAAACCCAAGGGTCCAGCAGCTAGATTTGTGTGTTCCTGTTAGTGAAACCCTATTCCCATGAACTCCCAACTCTGATCCTCTGGAACAGAATTATCCCAATGGGTAGTTGGATGGTCTGCACTCATCTACCTCTTTCTTTGGTCAGTTACATTATATCTCCCAAATTATGATGGTTCCAACAAAATGAAAATGAGTGTTTTCATTCTCTGAGAGATGGATAAGAAATCTTTAGTTGTTTATTTTTAAAACGTAAATGGAATCACTAACCACCTATGATTCTTCTCGTTCTCACTTTAAATAAGGACAGTTGAGCTGAGATGATCTTGAAAATCCTTGCTGTCTCTAAAAGTCAATAATGCTGTTTGCAGTGAAGTCTTTTTGATGATTTGTTTTATCCTAAAGCAATGTATAATTGTATGCATGGGATATACCTTGAAAAGAAGCGTGTATTAATAGTAAAACTTCAGTCAGGTGACCTTTTCTGGATATTTATTCATTCTACAAACATTTGTTAAGTCCCCACTGTGTTGTGTGTGTGTGTTTGTGTGTGTGTGTGTGTGACACTGCATATGCAGTGTGTGTATACATATATAATACACATACATATATATACACACATACATATATACGCATATGTGTGTGTGTGTGTGTATATATATATATATATATATATATATATATATTCAGGTACTATGCTCTGCTGAAGATACAGTGCTAAGCAAAACCGATACATTTTCTGCTATGGTTAGTAACTCCTGTCTGGTTAACTAAGGTTTAAACCAAAAGTATTTCCTAAAATCCTACTAAAATATATGATTTCTTTTAGAAATACATTATGTAGAAAGTGATAAAGGATCTTACACTGCCTTGGGGGTTTTGCTATGGATGCCAGTTATTATTAAATAGATGAGATATCAAAGGCATTTGATAGAAAACTAGAACAATATTGATCCTAGTACACATCATGGATGTATTTAAGGAATCTAACCAAGTATTTATCAGGAAAAGATAGTAAGGACTGACCTTAGAGTATGAAGTAGGTATTTAACAAAAGAATGGAGAAAAATGTCTCTACAGTTGACTCACAGGTATCTTAAACTGCTTCTTTATCATGTACCCCAGATTTAATTGGAACCCCTTTCAGCAGTATTGCCACTTTCATTATATGAAAGGGAATTTAGTGTCCCATCAGACACAGTGTGAATCTCGGATTACTGACAAAACCAGTGACCTTCCCACACTGTTTGCAAATCAATCAAAAAAGCCTAAAAGCCACGGCTGACCTCTCAGAGGCTTACTGTGACCAAAAGAAGCCAATAATCCTACCTCAGGGCAAGATCAATGAGAAAGAGAGGAAAATTTCTCAAACCTAAATGAGGCCATTTGCACATAAGAGATGAAATGTGGACATGATCCCAGTTAACTTATTCTAAACCCAAGGCTGCCTACCATGTCTAGTACCATCTAAGTGAGATGTTAGGACTCAGAATTTTTGGCAAATGGTCAAATGCATGGCAATACTTAGTAAAAGCCTATTTATCTAGAGTTTTCATTTACAAATTTTCACAACTCTCAAACATCAGGTATCGTACAAATCTAGAACTCTGTCAGTTCCCCCGGACTCCCAAAAAGTCTCTATATTGAATAAAGCATTAAAAGGAGCTGAAGGCTTAAACAGCCTGCCTCTGTATCCCATAACTGGTTGAGTCAATACCTAAAAGGAAAGGAACATTTTTGTTACTGGCTAATGGCCATGAGGTCAATTTTTTGTACCAAAGCCAAAAAGCAAAACAAAACAAAACCCTCAAAAACAGAAGAGACAGAAGAAACAAAAAGAAGCACAATAAGAAGAGGAAAGATAGCTATAGTTATAAGGAGGAGGAGTCATTACAGGAGAGATCTCATAATTGGAGATAACAGCTTTGATTATTTGAATCATCTATATAGGATTCAGTGGCATACACTCTGACAGTAGGAATGAGCCAACAACTGTAGGTGGGACAGCTCTGCACTTGACACCTCATACATTCATTCAACGTCTGCATGCCAGACATTGTTCCAGGCACTGCAATGCGTGCTGTACAAAGGTGAGCAACTCATGGTCCTTACACAACATTTACACTCAAGCTGGGAACTCAGAAACATGCATAAATAATTACAAAATAATTTGATGGCTTCAGAAACAGAGATATTACAAAAATGTATGAAGAATCCAGAAGATGGGGTAACTAAGTATAATCAAGGCAGTCCCAAATGTTTCACAGAGAAAAGAAGCATTTAAACTGAAAATGCACTGGATCTTTCCAGCCAGAGAAAAGGGGTAAGGGTATTCCAAGACAGAACGAACTGTAAAGGAAACGAGATCTGAAAATGCTCAAAAGGTAATCAAGATTGGTTTGAAGCAAAAGTAGAAGCTGAAACGGAGCAGTAGACAAAGTTGAAGCTGTAAAGATTGGAGGTAGCAGAAATGTAGATTCCTTGCATTACACCAGTTTAGTTGTCTATCTTTCCTATTGAAATCTTATCTCCATCAGGGCGGAGTCTATGTTTATTGTTACCAATACATCCCCTAGTGATGATAGGGGTTCAAACAACAATTGTCGAATAAATTGGAAGTCTAAATGAGCCTCACTTGAAGACACAGGCAGGAGACACATTTTGTACGTGTTTAAGGGAAGTCTTCAATTACCTGGGAGGCTTTCTTGTCCAGAATTTCACCTGTCCAAGATTATGGGACACCTACATGTCCCAGAGTTTGTTGTACAGGCTGAAAAAAGCAAGAGTTTTATTTCCATATATTAAAGTAACAATGGGTGAGATGCAACAGGAACAAATCAGGCACTCACAGAAATTACTACAGCAAAGCAGTCATATCAGCAATTTCCCGCACTGCAGTACTGGCAGAGCTTGCTGCTTTGCTTCATTATAAAGCTCCTTTTGCATATTGAGCTTTGCTCAATCAGGATCTACAACAAAGTAAGAAGAAACTCGAAAGATGTGAGGTTTTGCTAAGAAGGTGAATTTTACTTCTTTAATATTACTATTTAGCAGAACTGATTCGAATGTGCAAGTCCTATTATGATGCACTAGGTTTGTTGTTTTCATGGAAAACAGAAACACCTTTACAGATCTGCTGGACTAGTGCAAATGGAATTGGTGGGGGTTAGAAAGGGGTGTCTAATTGTCTCCTAGCAACTGTTACCATGGTTGCAGCCATACCTCATTTTCTTATAAAGTAAAAAATAGGATAAAATAAAAGGCAAAGTGAAGGAGCCAAAGGATATAAGTTTTTTCAAGGAAGAAGAAAAATATGATTGTCAGAATGCAAGTGCTTTTGTCTGGGAAGAATCATGAATTCTACGATTAGGTTAGGTTCAACTAAATATGTTTTAGTTGATGCTGCAAGAACACTTACTGGAACAATTTCTACTATTGTTTTTGACAGAAACATCCAAAACTTCAGCTTCTTTTACAAAGATAAAGGAAAATCTGCTTGATAATTTTAGAGGTATAAAATGAAGTAGTTTTTCTAGCCTTAAATCAAAAGCAGCTGCATACAAGTATCTACTGTGGTTTAGGGAGAGGTAAGTTATATTCCTCATTAGGTAGAAAAGAGAGGATAACATCATAATTATTTCAGTAGAATTTTGCATCTACTCCTCAAATGTTTTAAATGTTTAAAAGGCAGTGAGATTAACAAAAAGGCAGCAAAACATTCAACAGTACCTTTGAGGACCCTTTTCTGAGTCTTGTAAACATCATAAACATAACTACATTTTTATAAATTATACAGTATTTATATTAAACAGTTCAGTAATAAAGTGTGCTCTCTGCCAGCAAATGAAGTGCTACATTGTTTTATCCACTTTGATTCAGTCAGAAAAGTAATGGAACAAATTCATTTCTAAACCTTCCCTCAAGATTAGCCACCTAATTGGACACTAGTTCCCTGCTGATACAGATTTTCTCCAATCTCATATACAACTTGTGACAAGTTTAAGATTAGAAGGAAATAAAGTAGTGTAATTTTTACCAAAATAATAATGATAAGGTTCACATAACCACTGGTAAAGATAAAAATGAAAGACAGTTTAAGATTGGATATAAGAAATTTATTTTCCATTTTTTAAAGTTTTTTCCCAGGGCCATATATACCAAAGAGTTCTATTATTCATCCAAAGTCTAGACATAATTTGCTTCCGTATTTGACTTAAAGTTTTCTTTTTAAAACCACAGAACTCATGCTGGGGATTATATATATAGTGTGCATGTGTGATGAAATATATATATTCTATATTTAATATATATTCTGTTTTTATAATTTATTCTAATTCTTTTAGAAATTATTCTAATTTTATAATTAATTTTGTGTTCATAATATAATTATATAAATATTGTGCAGTAACACAAGAGAAACAAATTTTCTTGTCTCTGCCCACCACATTCTATTATTTTCCTTTCTTATACCTGTACCACAACACTTATCCATTTGGTCATTTATTTAACACACATTTATCCAGTACCTACTAATTTCCAAGCACTGCATATAAGTTACATCAATTTTAGTCGATGCTGTGAAGGAACTCTGAATGCAAAGAAAAACAGAAGAACACAATCAAATAACGCAGCACAATGTGGAAAGGTACAAAAAAAAAAAAGACAGAAGCAAATTATTGAAAGGGGAGTTTGAATTCCCCAGGCAGAGACGCTGGGAAAGAGCATTCAAGGAAGATGGCATGTGTGAGAACAGGGTAATAGGAGAGAGCTTCGTGTCCTGGGAAAGAAGTGAATGTGGATGGAGCCTAACCACAGAGGGTATGAGATTGCCAAGGCAAATTAAAGGCAGATTATGAGTGGCCTCATGGGCTTTACTAGGAAGTTTTAAATTCATCATTGCATCATAGATGTCATCGGATGTTTTTAAACATGATTGACGTCGTGTTTTAGAGCCATAATTCCGATGACAACATAGAGAATGAACCAGAAAGAAGGTAGAAAGCCAAGTGACTGAGCAGTGTACCTGGTGACTAAGGAGTGTAGCAAATAAACAATGATACTTCATCTGTAGACTATATTTTTTATAGTCACATTTATACCAGTGTATAACTTAATTTGTTTGACATCTACTTAAATATTTATTGAGTGCCTGTTATAGGTCAGGCCAGGCATATCCTCGGCTTAGGAAAACCCCTGCACATTGCAGTTTATATTTTAGTGGGGAAGCCACACAATAAAGGAACAAATATATAATGCCATATAGTGATAATGAGAAATTATTAATGTATTAAATTTGTTTATTAAATGTCTAATTTGCCAAACACCATTTTTGTTAAGATTTTAAGAAGTGTAACTAATCCAAGTAGGGTTTTTAGAAAAATAAATTTGTTTTGGCAATTTTAATAGTATTGCTAGTCAATATGAATAATAGCCTTTAAGTTTTGACTGGCCTGTGGACAAATATAGGCAAAATAAACTGAGCTTGCTATGCAAAAATTACATACCCACAGCAAATAGGTCAATCTAGTTTATTAGGGAGAGGTTTTTTTTTGTGTTTTATTTCTATAGTTAGACCTTTGGGATTTTTAAAATAATATTTATAATAATATTTATTTTAATAATATGGGAAGTAATCATTTTAACAAATGTAAATATGTCTAACTGATTTATAAAGACAGGGTATCTACTTACATCTGTGTCTTTATGAATCCACTTCAGAGGAAGCTGGTTGTCTATTACATATTTGAAGTATAGCATAACAAAGCCCAAATAAACTCAAATGTGAAAAAAAAATCTGCTGAAATAAAAGCAAAGAGAATGACTTTGAAGTCATATGACTTTCAGAATTAATCACAATTTCATGTCAAATATAATTTAAAACATGCAAATGTAAAACCCTGACCAAAAATGGTATTAGCTGAAGTTATTTAATATTGAAGATTACTTCCAAAATTATGAACTGAACATATTTTATAGTCTAATTGAGTCATTTTTGTGGGTATAGATTATCAACACTGAAGGGAAATAAGAAAATGATGCTAAAGCAACATTTATGTTTATGCTAAAGCAACATAAAGTCAGAAATGTATGTGAAAGTTAAGGAAGGAGGTGAGTGAAAGATAATGCTCTAGGAAGAATGTCCTTAAACAACCTTTTAAAACTGCTCTACAGAACTGCATACCCTAGCTATTGAGACTTCACTGTACATTAGCATATTGAAGTCTCTAAAAATTCCTATGGCAAAGAAACCTCTTAAACCTTATTTAACCTAGTGTTCTTTGTAAAATTGGCTGTAAAACACTTTGAAGCCACTTCTTTATAATTTATTTGCCTTGTATTCATCCAAGAAAATAAAAGAAAACTTGATTTAAGAAAAATGAAAGAAGAAAGGACATTCAGATGATATTATCTCAAATATAATAAAGAAAAGATATATAACAGCAAGGGGCTAGGGTGAGAACATCACATATTAAAAGAAGCCTCCCAGAGCCAATGGCTCACACAGTCCTCTACACTGGAGAATCACAGAATCATAGACTCTCAGGTTGACTGGTTCTTAGAAGTTCATCCATCCTGTGAACAAAATCTTCACCAGGTGCTTATGAATTCCACAGTTGAACAATTTCATCTTCAACATATTTGACGTTAAAATTCAGCAAGTATTCCTCCCTAATGATATATCCCTTTGAAACATTCATAACAGTATGTGATATTTGAAGATAACTTTTATTCCCATCACCACCAGCCCCATCAAGTTTTCTTTATAATTCAAGAATAGATATCTACTCATTGATATGTCCAATTAGAGACATCTCAAGAAATTAGATATTTGACTTTCTGGTTAAACAAAATTAACTGTATATACTACTACTTTTGGAATTATCATGTTCAAAAAGTATACCATAAGATGTAAATACCATTGAACTATACTGTGAATAGTTTAATTTTTTGTATATAAATGAACTGTAAATTTTTATTTTTTAATTTACTGAGAATTTTTTCACAGGAATATCTTAGATTGAACATGGTGTATCTTTTTTTATTTTTTTAAGTTCTGGGATACATGTGCAGAATGTGCAGGTTTATTACATAGGTATACATGTGCCATGGTGGTTTGCTGCACCCATCAACCCGTCATCTACATTAGGTATTTCTTCTAATGCTATTCCTCCACTAGCCCCCCACTCCCTGACAGGCCCCAGTGTGTGATGTTCCCCTCCCTGTGTCCCTATATTCTCATTGTTCAACTCTCACTTATGAGGGAGAACATGCAGTGTTTGGTTTTCTGTTCCTGTGTTAGTTTGCTGAGAATGATGGTTTCCAGCTTCATCCATGTTCCTGCAAAGGACATGAACTCATCCTTTTATGGCTGCATAATATTCCATGGTATATTTGTGCCACATTTTCTTAATCCAGTCTACCATTGATGGGCATTTGTGTTGGTTCCAAGTCTTTTCTATTGTGAATAGTGCTGCAATAAACATACGTGTGCATGTGTCTTTACAGTAGAATGATTTATAATCCTTTGGGTATATATACCCAGTAATGGGATTGCTGGGTCAAATGGTATTTCTGGTTCTAGATCCTTGAGGAATGGCCACACTGTCTTCCACAATGGTTGAACTAATTTACACTCCCTCCAACAGTGTAAAATTGTTTCCATTTCTCCACATCCTCGCCAGCATCTGCTGTTTGACTTTTTAATGATCGCCATTCTAACTGGCATGAGATGGTATCTCATTGTGGTTTTGATTTGCATTTCTCTAATGACCAGTGATCAGGAGCTTTTTTTCATGTTTCTTGGCCACAAAAATGTCTTCTTTTGAGAAGTGTCTGTTCATATACTTTGCTCACTTTTTGATGGGGTTGTTTGTTTCTTGTAAATTTGTTTAAGTTCCTTGTAGATTCTGGATATTAGCCCTTTGTCAGATGGATAGATTGCAAAAATTTTCTCCCATTCTGTAGGTTGCCTGTTCACTCTGATGATAGTTTCTTTTGCTCTGCAGAAGCTTTTTAGTTTAATTAGATCCCATTTGTCAGTTTTGGCTTTTGTTGCCATTGCTTTTGGTGTTTTAGTCATGAAGTCTTTGCCCATGCCTATGTCCTGAATGGTATTGCCTAGGTCTTCTTCTAGGGTTTTCATAGTTTTAGGTCTTATGTTTAAGTCTTTAATCCATCTTGAGTTAATTTTTGTATAAGGTGTACAAAAGGGGTCCAGTTTCAGTTTTCTGCATATGGCTAGCCAGTTTTCCCAGCACCATTTATGGAATAGGAGATCCTTTCCCCATTGCTTGTTTTTGTAAGGTTTGTCAAAGATCAGATGGTTGTAGATGTATGGTGTTATTTCTGAGGACTCTGTTCTGTTCCATTGGTCTATATATCTGTTTAGGTACCAGTACCATGCTGTTTTGTTTACCATAGCTTTGTAGTATAGTTTTAAGTCAGGTAGTGTGATGCCTCTGACTTTGTTCTATTTGCTTAGGATTGTCTTGGCTATACAGCCTCTTTTTTCGGTTCCATATGAAATTTAAAGTAGTTTTTTCTAACCCGGTGAAGAAAGTCAGTGGTAGCTTGATGGAGATAGCATTGAATCTATAAATTACATTGGGCGGTATGGCCATTTTCATGATATTGATTCTTCCTATCCATAAGCATGGAATGTTTTTCCATTTGTTTGTGTCCTCTCTTATTTCCTCGAGCAGTGGTTTGTAGTTCTCCTTGAAGAGGTCCTTCATATCCCTTGCAAGTTGGATTCCTAGGTATTTTATTCTCTTTGTAGCAATTGTGAATGGGCGTTCACTATTGATTTGGCTGTTTGTCTATTATTGGTGTAAAGAAATGCTTGTGATTTTTGCACTTGATTTTGTATCCTGAGACTTTGCTGAAGTTGCTTAACAGCTTAAGGAGATTTTGGGCTGAGAAGATGGGGTTTTCTAAATATACAATCATGTCATCTGCAAATAGAGACAATTTAACTTCCTCTATTCCTATCTGAATACACTTCATCTCTTTTTCTTGCCTGATTACCCTGGCCAGAACTTCCAATAATGTGTTGAATAGGAGTGGTGAGAGAGGGCATCCTTGTGTTTTGCCAGTTTTCAAAGGGAATGCTTCCAGCTTTTGCCCATTCAGTATGATATCGCCTGTGCGTTTGTCATGAATAGCTCTTATTATTTTGAGATACGTTCCATCAATACCTAGTTTATTTAGAGTTTTTAGCATGAAGGGGTGTTGAATTTTACCGAAGGGCTTTTCTGCATCTATTGAGATAATCATGTGGTTTTTGTTATTGGTTCTGTTTATGTGATAGATTATGTTTATTGATTTGCATATGTTGAACCAGCCTCACATCTCAGGGATGAAGGCGACTTGATCGTGGTAGATAAGCTTTTTAATGTGCTGCTGGATTCGGATTGCCAGTATTTTAATGAGGATTTTCGCATTGATGTTCATCAGGGATATTGGCCTGAAATTTTCTTTTTTTGTTGTGTCTCTGCCAGGTTTTGGTAACAGGATGATGCTGGCCTCATAAAATGAGTTAGGGAGGAGTCCTTCTTTTTCTATTGTTTGGAATTGTTTCAGAAGGAATGGTACCAACTCCTGTTTGTACCTTTGGTAGAATTTGGCTGTGAATCTGTCTGGTCCTGGGCTTTTTTGGTTGGTAGGCTATTAATTACTGCCTCAATTTCAGAACTTGTTATTGGTCTATTCAAGGATTCTACTTCTTCCTGGTTTAGTCTTGGGAGGGTGTATGTGTCCAGGAATTTATCCATTTCTTCTCGATGTTCTAGTTTATTTGCATAGAGGTGTTTATAGTATTCTCTGATGGTAGTTTGTATTTCTGTGGAATTAGTGGTGATATCCCCTTTATTATTTTTTACCGTGTCTATTTGATTCTTCTCTCTTTTCTTCTTTATTAGTCTAGCTAGTGGTCTATCTATTTTGTTAATCTTTTAAAAAACTAGCTCCTGGATTCATTAATTTTTTTAATGGTTTTTTTGTGTCTCTGTCTCCTTCAGTTCTGCTCTGATCTTAGTTATTTCTTGTCTTCTGCTAGCTTTTGAATTTGTTTGCTCTTGCTTCTCTAGTTCTTTTACTTGTGATGTTAGGGTGTCGATTTTAGATCTTTACTGCTTTCTCCTGTGGGCATTTAGTGCTACAAATCTCCATCTAAACACTGCTTTACCTGTGTCTCAGACATTCTAGTACATTGTGTCTTTGTTCTCACTGGTTTCAAATAACTTATTTATTTCTGCCTTAATTTTGTTATTTACCCAGTAGTCATTCAGGAGCAGGTTGTTCAGTTTCCATGCAGTTGTGGGGTTTTTAGTGAGTTTCTTAATCCTGAGTTCTAGTTTGAGTTCACTGTGGTCTGAGAGACTGTTTGTTATGATTTTTGTTCTTTTGCATTTGCTAGGGAGTACTTTACTTACAGTTATGTGGTCAGTTTTAGAATAAGTGTGAGGTGTTGCTGAGAAGAATGTATATTCTGTTGATTTGGGGTGGAGAGTTCTGTAGATGTCTATTAGGTCCACTTGATCCAGAGCTGAGTTCAAGTCCTGAATATCCTTGTTAATTATCTGTCTCTTTGATCTGTCTACTATTGACAGTGGGGTGTTAAATTTTCCCACTATTATTGTGTGGGAGTCGAGGTTTCTTTGTAGGTCTCTAAGAACTTGCTTTATGAATCTGGGTGCTCCTGTATTGGGTGCAAATATATTTAGGATCGTTAGCTCTTCTTGTTGCATTGATCCCTTTACCATTATGTGATGCCCTTCTTTGTCTTTTTTGATCTTTGTTGATTTAAAGCCTGTTTTATCAGAGACTAGGATTGCAACCCCTGCTTTTTTTTGCTTTCCATTTGCTTGATAAATCTTCCTCCATCTCTTTATTTTGAGCTTATATGTGTCTTTGCACATGAGATGGGTCGCTGAATACAGCACACCGATGGGTCTTGACCCTTTATCCAATTTGCCAGTCTGTGTCTTTTAATTGGGGCATTTAGCCCGTTTACATTTAAGGTTAATATTGTTACATGTGAATTTGATCCATCATTATGATGCTAGCTGATTATTTTGCCCGTTACTTAAAGCAGTTTCTTCATAGTGTCAATGGTCTTTACAATTGAGTATGTTTTTTGCAGTGGCTGGTACCAGTTTTTCCTTTCCATATTTAGTGCTTCAGCAGCTCTTGTAAGGCAGGCCTGGTGGTGACAAAATCTCAGCATTTGCTTGTCTGTAAAGGATTTTATTTCTCCTTCGCTTATGAAGCTTAGTTTGGCTGGATATGAAATTCTGGGTTAAAAAATCTACCCTTTAAGAATGTTGAATATTGACCCCCACTCTCTTCTGGCTTGTAGGGTTTCTGCAGAGAAATCCACTGTTAGTCTGACAGGCTTCCCTTTGTGGGTAACTCAACCTTTCTCTCTGGCTGCCCTTAACATTTTTTCCTTCATTTCAACCTTGGTGAATCTGACAATTACGTGTCTTGGGGTTGCTCTTCTCAAGGAGTATCTTTGTAGTGTTCTCTCCATTTCCTGAATTTGAATATTGGCCTATCTTGCTAGGTTGAGGTAGTTCTCCTGGATAATATCCTGAAGAGTGTTTTCCAACTTGCTTCCTTTCTCCTCGTCACTTTCAGGTACACCAATCAAATGTAGGTTTGGTCTTTTCACATAGTCCCATATTTCTTGGACGCTTTTTCATTAGTTTTCATTCTTTTTTCTCTAACCTTGTATTTATGCTTCATTTCATTAAATTGATCTTTAATCTCTGATATCCTTTCTTCTCCATGATCAATTCAGCTATTGATATTTGTGTACGCTTCACGAAGTTCTCATGCTGTGTTTTTCAGCTCCACCAGGTCATTTATGTTCTTCTCCAAACTGGTTATTCTAGTTAGCAATTCCTCTAACCTTTTTTCAAGGTTCTTAGCTTCCTTGCATTGGGTTAGAACATACTCCTTTAGCCTGCAGTAGTTTGTTATTACCCACCTTCTGAAGCCTACTTCTGTCAATTCATCAAACTCATTCTCTGTCCAGTTTTGTTACCTTGCTGGTGAGGATTTGTGATCCTTTGGAGGAGAAGAGGCGTTCTGGTTTTTGGAATTTTCAGCCTTTTTGCACTGGTTTTTCCTCATCTTCATGGATTTATCTACCTTTTGTCTTTGATGTTGGTGACCTTCAGATGGGGTTTCTGAGTGGACGTCCTTTTTGTTGATATTGATGCTATTCTTTTCTGTTTGTTAGTTTTCCTTCTCTAACAGTCAGGACCCTTTTCTGCAGGTCTGCTGCAGTTGGCTGGAGGTTCACTCCAGACCCTGTTTGCCTGGGTATCACCAGTGGAGGCTGCAGAATAGCAAAGACTGATGCTTGTTCCTTCCTCTGGAAGCTTCATCCCAAAGGGGCACCCGCCAGATGCCAACTGGAGCTCTCCTGTATGAGGTGTCTATTGGCCCCTACTGGGAGGTGTCTCCCAGTCAGGAGGCACAGGGGTCAGGGACCCACGTGAGGAGGCAGTCTGTCCCTTAGCAGAGCTCAAGCACTGTGCTGGGAGATCCACTGCTCTCTTCAGAGCCAGCAGGCAGGAATGTTTAATTCTGCTGAAGCTGTGCCCACAGCCACCCCTTCCCCCAGGTTCTCTGTCACAGGGAGATGGGAGTTTTACCTATAAGCTCATGACTGGCACTGCTGCCTTTCTTTCAGAGATGCCCTGTATGGTGAGGAAGAATCTAGAGAGGGAGTCTGGCTACAGTGGCTTTGCTGGGCTATGGTGTGCTCCGCCCAGTTCAAACTTCCTGGAGACTTTGTTTACAATGTGGGGTAATGGCAGAGGCCCTTCCCTCCACCAAGCTGGAGTGTCCCAGGTTGACCTCAGACTGCTGTGCTGGCAGCGAGAATTTCAAACCAGTGGATCTTAGCTTGCTGGGCTCCGTAGGGGTGGGATCCACTGAGCTAGACAACTTGGCTCCCTGGCTTCAGCCCCCCTTTCCAGAGGAGTAAATGGTTCTGTCTCACTGGCATTCCAGGTGCCACTGGGGTATGAAAAAAACTCCTGCAACTAGCTCAGTGTCTGCCCAAATGGCTGCCTAGCTTTGTGCTTGAAACCCAAAGTCCTGGTGGTGTAGACACCCGAGGGAATCTCCTGGTCTGCAGGTTGTGAAGACTGTGGGAAGAGCGTAGTATCTGGGACAGAATGCACCATCCCTCATGGCACATTCTCTTACAGCTTCCCTTGTCTAAGGGAGGGAGTTCCCTGACCTCTTGTGCTTTCCAAGTGAGGTGACACCCCACCCTGCTTCTGCTCACCCTCCGTGGGCTGCACCCACTGTCTAACCAGTCCCAGTGAGATGAGCCAGGTATCTCAGTTGGAAATGCAGAAACACCTGCCTTCTGCATTGATCTCGATGGGAGTGGCAGACCGGAGCTGTTCCTATTCGGCCATCTTGCCCAGGTCCCCGGTAGTTTCATTTTTAATTGATTACTTTGAGCTTGTTGTACATAAATAAAATTACCTATTGGACTGAGTTGTATTTGCCTTACATTTGGGATACGTACATGAACTGTCATTTTCAATATACATTTGGAAAAGTACAAGCTACACAAAAATAAATCCAAGTTATTTAAGCTTTTCTGCTAATTTGCTTTATTATGCATATATGAAGAAACTGCAAACCCAGACTAGGATGCATTAAAGTTTACCTGATAATTCTCCACCTGTGTGTCCCTGTCTTAGCCCCATACAAAATGGAATTAGGAGTACTTTGTATATATACTGTTATTCAAATCAGCAATATGTTCAGACAAGAGATTATTTGTAAGGAAAGAATTGTGTCTTTGTTTCATTATGAGAAAGCTTGGATTTCTCATAAACAGGTTTGGTATTCATCAATTATCTAATATGATAGACAATGTTATTCTCACAGGTATATATTTTATTCATTTTTCTCTTATGAAAGATATATTAACATTGGCTAAAAATAAGTCTGAATTCCTGTGGTCTAAAGAAGGGAACAGGGTGTAGTGAAAACAGTATGGAAACTATAGTCAAAAGACCCAGCTGGAGTTCCAGCTTCATCACTTAATGCCTATATTTATTTAATGTAATTGTTTATGAAAGGAAGGAATTACCCCTTCCACCCCTTCTAATAATTCTACATCTTATTAGAACTATATTTATATTGTTTCTTACAAATGTCTCCTTAATTTAAAAAGAGCTTGCTTCTAATGGTTCTTTCAAGCTGTTACATGTGCTTCAAACTCATAATCACAAATGCCATACAATCATTTACACCTCTTTGCAAATATTTTAAATCACTAAATTAAAATGTTATTAAATCAAAATGGAGCTGTGCTAAGAATTGTTCATAGTTGAGATGATGAGAATCTTATTATCCAAGGCTTGTAGATGTAGAATTTTAGAACCACCATGATAGGCAGAGAGAAGGATATACTCTACAAGTGCTTTTCAATAGCCATTGGCAGTTCCATGGTGGGATAAAGGGGTGGCATGGAACGAACACAGGACAAGGAATCAAACAGCTGAATTTCAGCACTTGCTTTTCACTCTATAGTTCTAGGACCCTATCCAAACCATATCTCTTGTAGGGCACTCAGTTTGCTAATCAATAAAATTGGGGAGAGATGCATATAAAGTGATCTAAAATCTGTGACCTGAAAGGATGGAACTGAAGGTCATTTTTTTTAATATTTGGAATAGTCAGAAAAAGAAATAATAAAAAACCGGTACTAAGAATGGATATTCACAAGTGAAGACATTTTGAAGGTGAAAATTTTGTTAGAAATAGAAATAATTTACTAAATAAAGACACTGAGTCATTCCTATTAGCCTATGTGAGACAGTAAACCTTTTTCAACAGTTTAGATATCCAAATAGAGGTATGGTATCTTATGCAACCTGAGTTTTTAATAATACCTAGAGAGTAAGTATTTAAATATAAATATAGAATGATACAGAGATGAAAAGCTTGGGATCATTAGCCAACAAAAGTATTTTTTTACATTATCAATTCTACTACTACAATGGTTTACTTGGAGACTGTCATAGTTGATTTCCCCCAGAGGCTGACCTTAAAACAAAGATCTGTGTGCACACAGTTTGTTTGGGAAGTAAAGAACAGGCTGGAAGAGGAGTAGAGAAATTTAGTCAATGAAAGATGCATTTATCAAGCAAATTGCCATCTGGGTGACAGGGGGTTAATTCCATTTGGAATGAGTGTAAACTAATTACTGGAGGAGGCTAGTGTAGAACAAACACTTAGGAATCATGTCATTTGTTGGGCAAGGGAGTTGGAGTACTTATGTACCAACTCCTCTCAGGAATTGTATGTGGGCTGCTGGGAAGGAGGACATTAATGCTCTGGCACTTCTAAACTCTTCCTTCTCCAAGGGCAATATCAGCTCTGTAGACCACAGAAAACCTACAGGCAAGGAAATTCAGGTGCTGGCAGTTGGAAGGTGAGCAAGTATGCATTGACATGACAAGGAAACAGATGAGGCAAGACATTGATAGTGTCTATTATGGTGAGTGACCATAGAGACATCAGACTGTATGGCTTTACAGGACTCTGTCACCCAAAGGACCACCTTATCCCAACATCTTTCACTGAAAGTCAGTCAGACTTTGCTAGGAACTTCCAGTGACAGAGAGATCACTACTTTGAGAGGCAGCCATTCCCTTTATGGGAAACTCTTCTTTCTCTCTCCGTCCTCCAAAAAAGAGTTCTTCCTAATTAGAAACTTCCATAATTTCTGACGTCTCCAAGTATAGAAGAAAATAAACACACACACACACACACGCCCCTGCATACACACATACACACACAGACCTACACACAAATTTGTACGTGCATTGGTGTATCATTTCCTTTAAAATATCTGATAAGAATTTACATTACCTAGCCTCCTCCTAAATCTCATCTCACACAAAACAGCCTTAGTTTTTTGGGGTCTGAAGTACTTTATTTTTCCCACCCCATTTTACATCACAGCCCTGAAACTGAAGTCCTGCTGTTATCTTACAAGGTTGTAGTTTAAGTCTGTTGTTTGTTTGCAAAAGACCCTTGCCTTATATTTTTCTTTTGATGGAACTGAAGTGATACTAAAGCTTTTGTTTTTATCTGCAGTAAAATATTTTAAAGCATTTTGAAAATCAACATTTGGGGAACATTTGGGAGTCTGGAATTTCTATAGAAAAAGAAGACTAGTGAAAGTGACTGCCCTCATGACAATAAGTTGTCAGTATCATGGCCCTAACACCTCTGAATATGTTGTGCCATTTTCTCCATGTCACTGAATTCTCTGGAACATGAAAACAACGGAGAGAGGAATTTCCAGTTGACTTATAAGATCAAATTAAGAGAAAAACCAGTTATTTCTATTCTAGTGTGCCACTGCATGTCTTTAGTTTGGAAGACCATGTTCAATAGAATGATCACAGCCTGGTAGTAATAGTTAGAAATAATATACAGCAACTTTTATAGAAGGACTCCTGAGTACTTTATAAACTATTGATATATAAAGGATTAATGTAAAATCTGATTGTGGATTAAAGGCCAAACTATCATTAATTTGCAAGTCTCAAATTGACCTTAATATGTTAGTGTTTCTGACATTTATATCCTGATTAACTTCTTTATTCATTCCTTGAATCAATATTTATTTAGTGTCTATTCATTCTTAAAAGTCTGCCTTGTTCTCTTAAGCAAGTGATATCACTTCTTGAAACCCACTGCGTTCCCCTTATTCTGCTCTGTATTTTAGTCATTTCTGTGTGTCTCTTCCCCTTATGAGATAATAAACACCCTTGTAACAGCAGCACTGACAGACTTATCTTTATAATCCTTAAATCTCTTAGCCTTAATCGTATAGGTAGGAAGTACTCCATTGGCATTTGTTGAACTAAATTGAACTGAAAAGTGAAGTCAATATGGAAAAGTGTCCTAATTCATTTTCTCCAACTTCCATCAAAGACTAAGGATTTGGAAGTTGCATTCTTGAAGATTGGTTATGCCATAATTTGTTAATAAAACAGTTAAAAATTACAATGTTTGTACCTGGCATTCACCTTATTAATATGCATAGGCCTGATTGCCTGATTATAGAATTTAATTATTTGACCAGCACCATGGATATTCCTAAACAACTCTCTGCTTCTTAAAAAACAAAAACAAAAACAAAACAAACAAAACCCCACACACAGGGAAAAAAAAGTAATGACAAGAATCAATTAGTCACTTCTCTTAAACACGTTATTTTGGTAAGGATTATCATCGTTGAGAGCGTATAATTGATCCTTCCTAAGCTATTCTACAGAACTCTAAACAGACGATCATTATTTTTAGTCTAGTTGCACCGTTTCTTTTTTTTTTTTTTTAATACTTTTAAGTTCTAGGGTACATGTGCACAATGTGCAGGTTTGTTACATATGTATACATGCGCCATGTTGGTGTGCTGCACCCATTAACTTCTCATTTACATTAGGTATAACTCCTAATGCTATCCCTCCCCCCTCCCCCACCCCACGGCAGGCCCAGGTGTGTGATGTTCCCCTTCCTGTGTCCAAGTGTTCTCATTGTTCAATTACCACCTATGAGTCAGAACATACAGTGTTTGGTTTTTTGTCCTTGTGATAGTTTGCTGAGAATGATGGTTTCCAGCTTCATCCATGTCCGTGCAAAGGACACAAACTCATCATTTTTTATGGCTGCATAGTATTCCATGGTGTATATGTGCCACATTTTCTTAATCCAATCTATCATTGATGGACATTTGGGTTGGTTCCAAGTCTTTGCTATTGTGAATAGTGCTGCAATAAACATACGTGTGCATGTGTCTTTATAGCAGCATGATTTATAATCCTTTGGGTATATACCCCGTAATGGGATGGCTGGGTCGAATGGTATTTCTAGTTCTAGATCCTTGAGGAATCGCCCCACTGTCTTCTACAATGGTTGAACTAGTTTACAGTCCCACCAACAGTGTAAAAGTGTTCCTAATTCTCCACATCCTCTCCAGCACCTTTATGCAGCCAACAGACACATGAAAAAATGCTCATCATCACTGGCCATCAGAGAAATGCAAATCAAAACCACAATGAGATACCATCTCACACCAGTTAGAATGGTGATCATTAAAAAGTCAGGAAGCACCGTTTCTTTCAAAAATATAAAATATGCAGATTGTCTTCCCCTACATTTTTCTGTCTTTAGGAAAGGCCATAATTAATTTTGCAACCAACTACTCACCCTGGGCATTGTTTTCCCATGACAACTAAGCCAGCCACACTTGTGTGAACACAGTTCCATTTTATATTCCTATCTTTCAACTCAAACTGTTTCTTTTCCCTATTTATATATTTTTTAAAAAGCAATTACATAGGAGATACAAGGTTTGGTCTGCACCCACAGTCAACTCATTCAAATTTATTCTTTACAGAAGATACTCTTCACTTTTGTTGAGATGATGAAAGCCATGTGAAACCACAACGATGACACTGTCAGTTTTACACAATCATTTAAAAATAAACAACACCCTATTTACAGGACACCACTCAATGGATTGTAAATCGAATTTTTTCACAAAGAAACTAAGGCAATGAGAACTTCACAGCGTTTGTGCAGTACATTTGTTTTTTTCCCAGCCAGGATCTGGCTCAGCAGAGATACTGATGCCTCTAGCATCACCAGCCAGGTAAATAAATCTCCAGATCCCTGCTCCCCAAGCTCTCAGTTACCAGAATGTTGATGCATATGGAGCTCTGCAAGACCTTTTGTGCCAGGAATTTTGTCCCTTTCAGTTCTTTGTGGTATTATAAGTCCTCACTCTTTGAAAATGCGTTGTATAAGCTTTAATTTATTATAGTTTTTTGCTAAACAATCTTGAATGGACAATGAGTTCTTTATGGAGACACCCAGTGCAGAATTTTTACTGATTCCACATCTTTTTAACATTTACAAGTATTTCCACTTAAAATGGATTTTTAAAATTAAACTGACACATTTTTGACTGCAGTCACAAAGAAATCACAAGCTGAGAGTGTTAAGAAATAAGAGGCAGGGTGCGGACAGGGGCTTAGAGAGAGTGCAAAATGGCTTAAATAGCCACACCAGAAGAACGTATAGTGAATCAGCAAGAGATAAATAACGGATTGCTGAGTGGCAACAACCCCTGCTGTAGCCAAATAGCAGGAATCTGTAGTAGACTCCATAATAGAATATGCCAATATGCCATTTCGTGGCTGAGTGGCATCAAGCATCCTCCTGATAATTACCTTTTGCACAAGCTAGACTGGAGATTCCCAGAAAATAAGATGGCTCCATCCTGCTCCACCCATGTTAAATCACTCAAGTCTAGATTGCCCAATATGACACCTAATTCAGCTATTTCATAAACCGAGCTTTCTCCACAATCCCATCTATTTGTTGCTTGTCCTCATCTTCATGGTAAGATTCTCAAGGAAAGTTCTATTTTAGATAAATTGTGGACTAGATAAATCTGGCAATATAAAACATGGAGGAAGGTTATGTAAAATATTATAAATGCATAGCTGAACTTCCAAGACAGTAAAGAAAATCTTCAGGGGCCAAGATGACAGGCAGCTGTGATGAAGGAAATTGCCAGATTGGGTAGGCTGATTGGTCATTTAATGCTTTCCCAAGAACAGAAGCTTTGGGTTCAGTCAAGTCAATACATAAAGCCAGACCAGTGAAGGGCAACAGCCCAATAAAAGGGTATAGCTGAAAAAATTCTGTCCCCTGTACAGAGTCAACTAAGTGTTTTCTGCCTTGGCCTAGGCTTAGTTTGGTGAGGAAAATATCTTCCTTGAGAATCTGTCGTCACAGCCTTGTTCTTGAGGCAGATTGTATTTTGAATTTACATCATATACTGTGGTCTGGGAATCTAGAAGCTGAGAACTTATCATAAAAGTGGCCTCAGGCCAGTGATACCAATATTGCAGTATCTATTAGAAGCAAACAGAAAACATCTTTGAAGGATTATTTTAAGAGATATTGGCAGTGAATTTCCCAGGATTGTTAAAGGGCAATCAGCCCTCATAGTCAGGAAGTACAACAAATCCTAAACAATATGAACAGAAATTAAAAAGTAAAAATCTAAACAACTTGTACTGAAACTGGAGAACATTAAAAATAGAAAGAAGGTCTTGAATGCAATCAAAACAAAAACATAAGATCAGCAGAAATTTTATTTCACCAATAGCCATGTATACAAAACTCTTTTCCAGCACAATTCATATGTTCTGATCTTATTTATTTATTTATTTATTTATTGTTGTGGGTACATAGTAGTATATATATTTATGGGGTCCATGAGATGTTTTGATACAGGCATGCAATGAGTAATAATCACATTATGGAGAATGGGGTATCCACCCCCTCAAGCATTTATCCTTTGTGTTATAAACAATCCAATTACACACTTTTAGTTATTTTAAAAATGTACAATTAAGTTATTATTGACTATAGTCACCCTGTTGTGCTATAAAACAGTATGTTTTATACATTCTTTCCAGCTATTTTTTTCTGTACCCATTAACCATTCCCACCTCCCTCCCACCCCCACTACCCTTCCCTGCCTCTGATAACCATTTTTCTACTCTCTATGTCCATCATACATTCTGATTTTAAAACGGTTTTCCTACATTTCATACATAAGTCACTCAAGTACACAGAATTATTTTTATGGGATAATAAAATGCTTAAAATAATTTAATTTTTGTCTTTGACAATGAACGTACCTGAAAATTGTGGCTTTCACTGTTATCATTGACGACACCAGTGAAGTTACAAAGCTGCTCATTAGTAACTGAAATTAGATTTTCTCTTGTTGAAGGAATTTTCAGTTTTTCAGAGAATGAGAGTTGTAATCTCTAATGCAAAAATAAAATTGAACTTTGAAAAGATCTCTAGAATTTTTTTTAAAAAAAGATGTTTGAGTTTCTAATTTCCTAAACATTTCTGAAAACATTCTCAGAAAAAAAAAAAGAATCCAACAGAGAGAAAAGCTTTTTGATTTTTTTTTTCTTTTTGTAATTATAAGAAAACACTACTGCATTCATATACAGGTGAGAATTCACTAAATATTTTCTGGTATTAGAGATGTCTATAAACAGAGATTGTGCCTTAGAAAAACCTTGCTTGCTACTCAGTCTACTCATAGATGACTATTCTTACCCTATTAAGACACCAAGCAGCCTATCTTCCATTTTTATAAATTATCAATAAGTGAAGTACATCTAAATTCTTCGGATGAAAATCATTTTCAGTTTCTATGTTGATGTATTCTCATGAGAAATATATGTAAATGTTGGTTCATAGCATTGTCATTCTTTTTAAGGAGATTATAATAATTTTCTGAACGAGGTTGATAGAATGTGATTTAAATAAAAGTGGTACTTTTTACCACTTATTCTGAATATGGCTTATCAATTCTTCTAACTATAGTACGTGACTTTTATTTTTTAAAAAACTATCATTTTCCCATCATGATTCTACATGGAATTATGCTAAAATAGATAATAATTTTAAAATAATATTTCAGTGAATTAAAATTGATTTTCTCTTATTTGCTTATATCTTCACAGATTGTAAGTGTTGGAAAGCATGTTAAAGGCTACCATTATATCATTGCAAACTTGGTAAGAACTTCTTATTTTCTACTTTTCATAAGAATTGCTCAAGCACACAAGATTATTTTAACTGTGCCTTAAATAATGCTTCAATAAATAGAGTACATTACTTACTAAGCTTTTAATAACACATGATATTTTATTACAATGATCATTAAATTTCACCAGTAGAATTCAATATATTTTTATGCAGATTAGCTTGGTATCTGCTAAAGAGACCTTTAAAAGAAATGATAATGGTTACTTTGCTACGATACCACTTGTCAAATTAAATAATTTTCTCTGTCTAAATGATAAATGCTACTTTATAGACAAAGATAGCCAATATTTGGATATTATAAGAATGATCTAAACTAATAGCTTATGTTCTCTAATTTTAAGAATAACTGTATATAATGGCTATATAAGCAAATCTTTTAAATGGGAGTAATCCAAATTTTTAAAAATTATGTCAACTTTTCACATATCATATAGAAATGGCTAACAAACAAGATACACATATTTTTATGAAATTCTTAAAGGTCTGAGAGAAATCCTTTTAGATATCTTGGCAAGGCTCATTGAATATGTCTTGTTAACCATGTAGTGTAGGGGGTAGATTATGTATGGAGCGGCCCAGCCTCTCTTGCTTTATTATAGAGTACCATTTGCCCTAAGGGCCTGATTCCCAAAGTGATTTATATTGGAGAAGTTAAGGATGTTTTCTCCTTTTTTTTTTTTTTTTTTTTTTTTTTTTTTGAGACGGAGTCTCACTCTGTCGCCCAGGCTGGAGTGCAGTGGCGGGATCTCGGCTCACTGCAAGCTCCGCCTCCCGGGTTCACGCCATTCTCCTGCCTCAGCCTCCCAAGTAGCTGGGACTACAGGTGCCCGCCACTACGCCCGGCTAATTTTTTTTTGTATTTTTAGTAGAGACGGGGTTTCACCGTTTTAGCCGGGATGGTCTCGATCTCCTGACCTCGTGATCCGCCCGCCTCGGCCTCCCAAAGTGCTGGGATTACAGGCGTGAGCCACCACGCCCGGCCTCCTTTTTCTATTTTTATGACACTTTTTTTTAATGACTATCTTGCGCTTGAAACAGGAAAGAAACTAAAGGATGCAAAAGAGATTCAGATCTACCCATTCTTTCCGTATGGCAAGTGGACTGTCAGACTTTGAGACAGGAATTTTCGGTCTTTAGTGAACTGGGTTTGGTTGTGGATCTGAGATATTAAAATACAGCAAAATACTGTGAACCATGATTATATTGTGTTTCTTAGATAAAGTATAATCTTGCGACTTAATGGATTATCATGAAAATACTGAGAAATTTTGACTTGTCTTTTTCATTGCTTTTTAGTAGGCTGTTTTAGTAGAGTGTTTCACTATTTTTTATAAAAATATAAAATTTAAGACAAATATATTCTGATATTAATTACTATAAGAGAAAAAAACTTAGGATTATGAGATAACTAAGTACAGTGAAATGTACAATGAGACTCTAATGACTTTTATAGCAAATAGGTTTTGTCATCTATTCTTACAAACAATAGAATTGAGGGGAAAAAAATCAATGTGTTATATGTAGATTATCATTCCAGAAATGAGTTGCTGACATTGGCAATTAAAATAAATAAATCAATACAAGATGGAATGAATTAATATTTGTAATACTACAAAGGATATCGTAAACAGCCCTAGGAGATGGCAGTGTATTTAAGTTATCTAGCGTTCCAGTATATGAAGTAGAAAACCATTTTTGTTTGCAGTAGGGACTAGAACCATCACTTTCACTAAAAATCAGCAAGTTTTATTATATGTGGTTGATATCTTTGTAACACATGATTAGATCAGTGGCTGCCATGGACATACATTATAATACAGTGTATTAATATGGATTCTATTGACTTATTCATTTATCCCTAAAGGACTATTACTTATAACACTAGAGTAGTTTTTATTTTATTGAGCCAATCAACAACTATTTTTGAGAGCTATGTGCATAAGATTCTCAAATGTGAAGTCAATCCAGAATCAAAATGAAAAATTACATCAACATCATACTTAAGGTTGAAAGACTGAATGATTTTCCCCTAAAATCAGGAACAAGATAAGAGTGTCCTCTCTCACCACTTCTATTGAACGTTGTACTGAAGGTTCTATTACAGATATTTAGGTAAAATCAATAAAAGGCATCCAGATTGAAAAAGAAGATTATATGTATATAAAAATACTAAGGAATCAAAAAATATTTATAGAACTAGTAAGTTCCACAGGGTTGCAGAATGCAAGGTGAATATACAACAGTTTATTGTATGTCTATATGCTAGCAATAATATTCTAAAAATTAAACCAAGAAAATATTTCATTGATAATTTACAATTACAATTTACAATTAATGGAGAACTGCTATACTTAAACCAACTCATCAAGGGTGATTTAACAGTATTAGTAAAAAACTGATTTCTACAATAACAATTCTTACTTGTGATGTTTACAAATATTCCAGAATATTTAAAATATTCTGTAGTCATAATGTAGAATATAAAAGCAGAAGGTATGAAGTCCAACTCATATTTACCAAAAAGAGAACAATGAAATTCAGCAGACATCAATATGGGATGCATGAAATTGGGTCATGAATTTACAGACATGCATTTTTGTAAAAGTCAAGGACCTCCCTTATTTAAACAAGGTTAACTCCCTGGAGAAACTGAGTTTAAATATAGGTGTTCTTTAGATTCTTTAAAAATGATAATCTTTTAAACCAAGAAACAAAGTAAGGAATGTCACTGAAATATTGGCTTCATAATGGTCTTTAAATTTTTGAGCTGAAATACAGAAAGCAGATTTCATGTAATTAAACAAAATAATAGGCAATTTCTTTGTGAATAAGGATGCAAATAGGTTATGAATGCTCTCTGGCATTATTTTAAATTGTCTTGTCATTAACTACAAGTTGAACTTTTCTTCTTCAATTAACAACCATTCAATCTCCTTCATCATTCTATCCTGATAAAATGAGAATACATTGATGTATTCTATGCCCCTCTGATCTTAGCTTTTGGAGCTATTGCAGTGTACTGGCATCTCACCTCCAACCAGGCCAAAAGAAGTAGAAATCCTTTCCCTTAATACTCAAGCCTGAACCTGCAGAAGGTCCAAGAGGAGCCACAGGGAGCTAACATCATCTGAACAGCATGAGCTATGCCTGATATCTAATTGAATGGGCATGCCCCTCCCTGATTCTTGAAATTTCTCTGATTATCTCTGCCACTATATTTAACAATTGCACATTAAGTGTGAGTAAAACTTGCTAGAAATGAAAGATTGCTGCGATTCTTTTTTCTTTTCTATGTCCTATATGGGATTTGTATGTAGGTGCATGTATGTTTTATTAAACCCATCATCTAGAGGTACTGGTGAAAGCGTATGATATCGCAATAGGTTAAGCTCTGTTCCAAAAATTTCCCAGAGAAGTAGAGGCAGGAAAACCTTATCTGTCAGTTGGTTTATCCTAGTCTGTTTCTTAGAGATTCAAGTAAGAAAATTGCTTCCCTAATTTGCCCCTAGACTTTCTCTTTCCTAGTTCTTCTTTCATTTAGCTGCCAGTTGTTTTTTAAAGACAAGTATGATGATATCGTTTGCTTAAATCTTTGATTGGCCCCAGGCTGCAAATACAGTAAAAGACATCAGATTTTTCATGACCTGATTCCCCATGGGGTTTCCAGACTTACTTGCTAATACGTGTCTCACTTCTCCTCAGAGTTTGGATGTCTCTCCAAATGACATATTGTCCCAACTCTGAGTCATTGCCCCAATTTTTACCACCATCTTTCAGAGTAAGCATTGAAAACCTAAGCACTGCTCTACTTAAATATTTTAGGAAAAAGGATTTGCACTCTTGAACTTAATGCACAAAGCCCTTTAAGATTTTATCCCTACTTGACCCCACAGTTTTTCCCACTCCACCCCACAACTATCCCTTCTTCAGACCAAACTAATTCCCAGACACCTAATGCTGCTTTCCTCTTCCCAGTTTTGTTTAGGCTGTTATCTCTATCAGGAGGTGTTTACCCCACCCAATCCTAGTCAGTGGTTACAATTACGTCTAGAAAGCTATCCCTAAATATCCACTTTGATAGTCCCTCCTCTGGGTTCTCAAACTACCCTGTGTACTCATAGTATAGAACTTATTCTTGTTTTTTCATTTATCAAATTATTATTTTATAACCCCTCTGTAACAGGTACTGTCCAACATCCCACGGCACAACTGCAAATAAAACACTGCAAGCTCACTGAAGGCAGGAACAATGTCCCTTTTGTTAACCTTATGAAAGAGTCCTTATCCCTATTCTTTATCTGCTGAACTCCTGCTTATCCTCTAGCACCCAGCTTATGTTATTGTAATTGTTTTTGTTATTATAATTGCTTTAATTTGGCCTTGAAAAAGATTTTTAATAGATACAAAAATGAGGTTCAGTGTAATTTACCCAAGATCTCGCAGATCTGAATTCTCAAAGAAAAGTTTGAAGCTCTGGCCTGTCTGATTGCAAAGAATAAATACACAAAAAAATAAATAACTTAGGGAATAATGCCACCAAGTGACCATTTACTTAATCATCTCCCACAGCACCCGTCAGGGGGACCTAATATTAAACACATTGCTCTGTATTGATATTCACTCCTCTACCAGTCAAATAATTTAAATATGGCCACCAATAGCAAAAAGGAACAGTTGACATTTGTCCCATTACCAAGACAAATTCTTAGAATCTTGTTCTCCTTTAGATTTTTTATTTAAAAAGTATTATTTAATTTACATCTAGGAGAACACCTGGCTCAATCATTAAAAAGATATAAAATTACAAAATGTTCTGGATATATAATTAAAGATGAACTGAACCTATTTCTTACCTATCCTCCACCATGTCACACACATATACCACTCACGCCTCATTCAGAACATAAAGGAAATTAAACATTAGGATACAGAGAGCAAAGTGACTTGTTTGCATTTAGGTGTTTGATTAGTTTCAGAATGGAGAGTAGACATGCTTCCCAAAATTTGCAGTCTAGCACATTTTTATTGACGTGCAGTGACCCTAGTTAAGATTCCATCAACTTGGCGACATTGTTTTACTTTTGTGCTTCCCGTTTTTTAACTTTTCTGCATTGAGCATGTCTGACTCTACCATCTATCTACATGCATATGAAAAGTACATACTTTAAGTCAATTTCTTAACTAATTTTTACAACATGGTAAGCTAGCAATTCCCCCATTCTATTTGACATTCCTTCCATTAATTGCACCAGAGCTATCTCAATATAATTTAGTCAACCTACGAAACTGAAATGCAAAATACAGCAGAAATGTTACCTGAATTAAGTAGAACTTAAAGAATAAGCATTTATTAAACAGTGATGATAGACCTGTAAATTTACATAAATAGTCATCAGGATATCTGATACCTATAATTTTAAACATTTTATTTTCCCCCAAAAGATGTATGAACTACAAATAGAAATTAAAGAAAAACCAAGTTGGACGTTAATCTAGAGAGTGGTAATTAACCATTGTGAAATTCAAGCAAAGTAGTGGCCCATTTTAACAAGAGAAAGCCTTTCCCATGATCTCCCCCTGCCCTCAGAGACTTTATTTACTGAAGTCACTTAACCACTGATTTCTTCCTGACTATGGAGTGAATAATTTTATTACAATGTTGCCCAGGAACTCTCAGATCCACTGTATTCTTTGGATAAAAATTGAAATCAAAATGGCCACCAAAATAAATGTTTCTGAGAAAACTGCTTCACTGTCTAGATCCTATCAATTTTCTATATGAAATTGTAAGAAAATATATGAAAGAAATATATGAAAGAAAATATATGTAAGAAAATATGTATGAAAATATATGAAAAATATTGCCTGTACTCAAAACAGACATAGCTGAAATTAACTGAGCCACCCACTATTCATTGAAATCATAACTGACAATGGTTTATAATCAGACATGGCAATTTTTCCCTTTACTTTCAGCATAAGAACAGGATGGACTCGAAAATGTGAACTATTATTTATCAGCTAGACTTTACATCAGATGATTTTTCTGAAGGCTGCAGCTTTGCCTCTTTATGCTGCAGCTGTGGATAACGCTATGAAAGAAGGTTTGGCAGACCTTCTATTTCAGCCATGTTTGAAAGAAAATAATAATGTCATCAATTAGCAACTAATGCAATAGTTGAATTACTGTGGCTTTTAGAAAACATTGGAATCATTTGCCTGCCTGTGGGTCTGCCGTATACTCTGATAGAAGCAAACCAATGTTCAACTGACATTTTACTAGCTGGAGATTGATGGACAGTGTTTTTCCCATTTCAGAAACATAGGTTTACTTTCTGGCGTCTAGTTTCTTTATCGACAAAATGAGAATGTTACTGATGAGCTGTCAAATTAGTGGGCATATAATAGGCATGAAATAAATATCTGTTGAGTGAATTAATTGATAATAGTGATCATTTACTGAATTCAAACCAGATGTGCTGGATACCGTAGCATTCTCATTCTCATTTTGAATGTGGAAGGTATAAGGTTAGAAAGTAACAGATGTGGAATTCAAAGTGTGGGCTTTTCGAGGGGAAACAGTATTACACTGCCTTTCCTATAGATATTATGATAATTAATAAAATTTAAAATACCTCTGTGTAAGAATATGCAGGAGTATAAGGTGAAAAAGACAAACTCAAGAGGTGGTTTGTATGGCTGGAATCTTAGCTCTACCATACATTTGCTGGATGGCTTTGAATAGCTTTTCTTCACCCCCCCGAGCCTGTTTTCATATATTTAGGATAAGGCCAATAATAGGATCTATCTCATAACCTTGTTATGAAAACTAAACTAGATCAATAATCTGTGTAATACGCTTAGCACAATGCCTGGCATATAATAAGCTCAGCATATAATAGCTGTTAGCTCGTATACCTGGGCCTCTTGACAGCAATTTTTGCTCAGTTGCCAGTAGACTGATATATTTTTTCGTAGATAGCCAAACAGCAATGCACATATGTTGGTTAGGAAGACAATCTACTTCACTATAAAAGAAAAAGGAGGAGGAGGAGGAGGGAGGGAAGAGGGAAGGAAAGAAACAAATAATCTGAAGATCCCAAAACCATAGCCAAGGTGCATTCAGAAGGACAAGCAACTCCAAGTCCTCATTACTTCTTACTCTAACTGCAGGATTATTGCTACATATTTTTTTTTTTTTTTTTTTGAGACGGAGTCTCGCTCTGTCGCCCAGGCTGGACTGCGGACTGCAGTGGCGCAATCTCGGCTCACTGCAAGCTCCGCTTCCCGGGTTCACGCCATTCTCCTGCCTCAGCCTCCCGAGTAGCTGGGACTACAGGCGCCCGCCACCGCGCCCGGCTAATTTTTTGTATTTTTAGTAGAGACGGGGTTTCACCTTGTTAGCCAGGATGGTCTCGATCTCCTGACCTCATGATCCACCCGCCTCGGCCTCCCAAAGTGCTGGGATTACAGGCGTGAGCCACCGCGCCCGGCCTATTGCTACATATTTTATTCCCACCAAAAAATAAACAAAACACTCTCCTTCATTCCCTCAGCAAATTGAAGCATATTCACATTTGCAAAAGAACCTTTACTAAATACTAAGAGAAAACAAAAAGAAAGCAATTACAAAAGCTACGAGCTCATGCGTGTGTGTGTGTGTGTGTGTGTGTGTGTATGTGATTTACTTTTCTCTGAGCTAATACCTATGGCTTTATTAATTCACTTCCTTAATAGGCTTTTTGCTCTCTTCTTGCTATTATCTGTTTTACACTTTTTATTGAGTGTGGATTTTTATAAGGTACCTAAAATAGTGGCAATAAAAGGGAGCCAGGTATAAAACAAAGGTGATAAATGGGTAGATATATAGATGGAAGATAGATAAAAGACAGATAATTGGTAGATAGGTGATAGATAATAGATACATGATAGATAATGGACAGATATAGATACATACATACATGGATAGATAATAGAAAATGTGTACACAATAGATATGATACATGAGAGGGATGGAGGGAGGGAGGGAGAGAGAGAGAGAGAGAGAGAAAATAAATAATTGTCCAGAATTTTTGAATCCTTGATTACTACCTCTAGGCAAGAAGGGATAGTATCCTTACTTCCCAGCTTCTTCGCTCCATCTGGTGGACACCATCTTTTTTCCTACCACACAGGAGTCCATGAATGGCCTATCTTGTGCTCTTCTCTTGGACTACCATTTCTCGGGGCACTTAGACTGATTCCATGACTTTACTATTGTGAATACTGCTGCAATAAACATATGAGTGCTGATGTCTTTTTGACAAAATGATTTACTTCCCTTTGGGTATATACCCAGTGGTGGGATTACTAGGTCAAATGGTAGTTCTATTTTTAGTTCTTTGAGAAATCTCCATACTGTTTTCCATAGGGGTTGGACTAATTCACATTCTCACCAACAGTTGCAGTTTTTATTTTTTCCCTTTTCTCCACATCCTCACCAACATCTGCTATTTCTTGAGTTTTAAATAATAGCCATTCTGACTGGTGTGAGATGGCATCTCATTGTGGTTTTCATTTTTTCTCTGATGATTAGTGATGTTGAACATTTTTTCACATGTTTGCTGGCTGTTTGTATGTTGTCTTTTGGGAAGTATCTGTTCATGTCCTTTGCTCTTTTTTAAATGGGGTTATTTGGTTTTTATTTGTTGATTTAAGTTCCTTATAGATTCTAGATATTAGTACTTTGTCAGATGCATAGTTTGCAAATATTTTCTCTCATTCTGTAGGCTGGCTATTTACTCTGTTGATTGTTTCTTTTGCTGTGCAGAAGCTCTTTAGTTTAGTTAAGTCCCATGAGTCTATTTTTGTTTTTGTTTCATTTGCTTTTGAGGTCCTAGTTATAAATTCTTTGTCTAGGCCAATATCCAGAAGAGTTTTTCTTAAGTTTTCTAGTAGGATTTTTGTATTTTCACATCTTATGTAGTCTTTAATCTATCTTAATTTTGGTATATGGTGAAAGGTAGGAGTTCAGTCTTCTGCATAGGGCCAGCCAGTTTCCCCAATATTATTTATTGAATAGAGTATCCTTTCCCCTTCTTTATTTTTGTTGACATTGTCAAAGATCAGTTGGTTGTAGGTATGTGACTTTATTTCTGGTTTCATTATTGTGTTCCATTGATCTGTGTGTCTATTTCTGTACCAAAACCATGCTGTTATGGTTACTATAGCCTTATAGTATAGTCTTAAGTCAGAAAATGTGATGCCTCTGGCTTTGTTCATTTTGCTTAAGTGGCTTTGGCTATTCAAGCTTTTTATTAGTTCCATATGAATATTAGAATTGTTCTTTCTAGTTCTGCAAGAAATAATGTTGGTAATTTGATAGGAATTGCATTGAATCTGTAGATTGTTTTGGGCAATGTAATCATTTTAATGATATTTATTCTTCCTATCCATGAGCATGGGATGTTTTTCCATTTTTAGGTGTCATCTATGATTTATTTCATCAGTGTTTGGTAGTTTTCCTTATAGAGGTCTCTAACCTTCTTGGTTAAATGCATTCCTGGATATTTTGTATGTGTGTGTGTGGCAATTTTAAATATGATTGAGTTCTTGATTTGGTTCTCAGCTTCAGTGTTGTTGGCTATAGAAATGCAACTGATTTGGGGGCATTGATTTTGTATCTTGAAATTTTACTGCAATTGTTTATCAGACATAGTAGTCTTCTGGAGGAGTCTTTAGGATTTTCTAGGTGTAGGATGACATCATTAGTAAACAGAGATAATTTGACTTCCTCTTTTTCCTATTTGAATGCCTTTTTTTCTCTTTTCTGATTTTTCTGGCTAGGATTGGAGGTACTATGTTAAATACGAGTGGTGAGAGTGGACATCCTTGTCTTGTTCCAGTTATTAGGAATAATGCTTCAAGCTTTTGCCCAGTCAGTATGATGTTTGCCGTGGGTTTGTCATAGATGGCTCTAATTAGTTTGAGATATGTTCTTTTGATGCCTAGTTTGTTGAGGATTTTTATTATGAAAGTATGTTGCATTTTATCAAATGCTTTTTACTGTATCTGTTGGGAGGATCGTAAGGTTTTTGTTTTTAATTCTTTTTATTTGGTGAATCACATTTATTGCTTTGCATATGTTAAACCATCCTTGCATCCCTGGAATAAAACCTACTTGATCACAGTGAGTTATCTTTTTGATGTGCTGCTGGATTTGGGGTGCTGGTATTTTGCTGAAGATTTTTATGTCTGTGTTCATCAGGGATGTTGGCTTGTAGTTTTCGTTTTTATTGTGTCCTTGCCAAATGTTGGTTTCAGTATGATACTAGTTTCATAGAATGAGTTAGTGAGAAATAGGAGACTTTTTGATGCAATCATATTTATCTCCTGTATCCCCCTTTATACTTCATAAAAGGCAATCAGAGGCATTCAAGAAATACTTGATTTGAACTGAAATAAAAACATATCTTTGTCTCATGTATTGGATTTTGAATTACAGAATTTAACAGCTAAATAGACATAATTAGATTTTCCACATCTTTTATTATCATTTTCCACATTTTTAGCCATTGCTTTATTAAAAATCTTTTAATATGTATAGGTTATTAATTTATGTTACTATTGAAGAGCTGCCATGTATAATAAACTAAATTTAACAATCTTTTGTATTAATTTTTATAGGGATTCAAGGATATTTCTCTTGAGAGGTTTATACATGGTGGAGCCAATGTTACTGGATTCCAGTTGGTGGATTTTAATACACCTATGGTAATCAAACTAATGGATCGCTGGAAGAAACTAGATCAGAGAGAGTATCCAGGATCTGAGACTCCTCCAAAGGTATTTGTTTATTTTTATCTACTGTATTACTGATAGTTTCAAAATTTAAGATGAAAAGTTTATTATACAGTTTTTCCATTAACATTTTGCCAAACATAGTATGGCATGGGAAAAAAGCATTTTGTCCTTATAACTGCCTTGCACATGCTCTTAATAATTTCTAAATTTCTGTATTTAAGAGTAGAGTTTCTAGACATTAGCTCAGGCAGTTTACTATTATTATTACAGTACTATACATATGAATTTTCTTTCAGAATTAAATTTTTTTTAATTGTTAACTAAATGCTTCAAATGTGAAAGAGCATCCGTAACTTTTCTCCCACACAGAAATCTTCATGAAGTGATTTAAAATGAGTAGGCAAATTAGGAATTTAGCAGAAATGTAAAATATACAAGCTTCTGCAAAAGTTCTTTCAAATTAACGTGAAAAATCAGGTTGTTTTCATTGTTTTCTGACTGAAATTGTGAACATATGCTATTAATATTTGCTCAGAAAAAGCTGGTAAATTTCTGATCATAAGCATATTTGATCAAACTAAACAGATAGATGACTTTCTTAGACCTCATGTTAAATTATGGCATAATGTTTCTTAAATTCCAACTTAGTGGTTTGAGCCCCTACCTAATAAGGCACCATCATCATCATTTGCTAATCTTTTACTTACAGTGTATTCCAGTAAAAAGTTTTATGTATAATTTGGAAACTCAAGCCTAGAAAAAACAAGATCTAAGGCTAGAGGGCCTCAGCTCTGCTTCTATTTTCTAATTATAATATTTCATATTGGCTATGTCCATTTCTTCTCTGAAATACTGGAATTTGGCCAGCTCAGCATACCATCTTCACTGCCTTATAAAATCACAGAATTTCAAAACAGAACATTAAATGGATGTCCACTATGTGTCAAGCACTGTTGTCCAATCCTTTGATTTTACAGATAAATACAAGCAAATTATTAAATGGATTTGTTAGTTGGCTGTCCTTGAGTCAGGGACCAGGTTCATGGAATACACAGGATATAATTATTTTAATGTCTCCTATTTGATTATATCCAACTAGACTTGTCTATGCTATAGCTTTGTTCTCTTTGTTATATAATCCTCTCATCCTTCACAACTCTTGGCATGATGGTAGGCATTCAGTAGCCATTTAATAAATAAATGCAGTACAATTAGTTCTTATTATTCACAGCAGTTATGTTCTATAAAGTCTCTTTAAATACTGAATAAGTAAATATAGAACTATTGCTCCAGGGGAAATATAGGGTTAAGTTCTGCTAGCCTCTGGTTACAAACTTTTTGTCAACTATTCAGTATATAACCTTGTTTTATGGGTGTTTGTGTTTAAAGAAACCTTATTTAATGTATTGTTGGTTCATGGACATTGAACTCCTGGCCAACAGCACCATGGTTCATGCCCGAATGAAGCTTATTTAACATGCGCATTTTCTCCATAAGGCACATCACAGCCTTCTTGCACTTGCGAACACTAAACAGCACATCAACACTATGCTTTTGGGCCATGTTAAACAGTGAAATCATCAGCAAAAAGCACAAAACTGCAGAAAACATGGCACTAAATAGAACACAAAAAGGACACTTGTTTACAGTATGAGAGCAGAAACAAGGAAACAGTGTTTCCTTGTTCAGCCACAGCTGGGACCTTGTGTGTTGGGTTACTCAAATTTTTCACCACTCTATACAGTTCCACAAATAACCACAAAAGTGCCACAAGTATCGATTTAAGAGTAACAAATAAATATTAGCAAGGAGGAAAATTTGAAAATTTAGAATCCACAAATAATGTGGATTGATTATAATTAAAGTGTACTCTAAGTGTTTAATTTTTCAACCAAGATTAAAAGCATGACTTCTGATCGTGTCACTTCCCTGCTTTAAAAAAATCTCCTGGAATCAAGGTTTTCCATTCTATAGGCCAATCAGGCCTTTCCAAGTGCATGATCCTCTGCCTCCTTTCTGATGCTCCAGCCAATGTGAGCTGCCCTGCATTTCCCCACCCTTTATCACTCCCTGTGCACGTGCTTCTACCTCAAAAGTCCTCCACCATCATGTCTACCTGTTGAAATCCAACCATCTTCCAAGGCTTTATCTCAAATTCCACTTTCTCTATGAAATCTTTTCTTTTTTCTTTTTTTTCAGGTTGACTTATTTATTTTTTTGAGACAGAGTCTCTCTCCGTCACCCAGGCTGGAGTGCAGTGTCGCGATCTCGCCCCTCACTGCAACTTCCACCTCCTGCGTTCAAGCGATTCTCGTGCCTCAGCCTCCTGAGTAGCTGGAAATTACAGGCCTGCCCCACCACACCTGGCTAATCTTTGTATTTTTAGTATAGACGGGGTTTCGCCACGATGGCCAGGCTGGTCTTGAGCTCCTGGCCTCAAGTGATCTGTCCCAAAGTGCTGGCCTTACAGGCATGAGCCACTGCGCCTGGCCCAGATCTGGTATTTGATACCACAGCAGGGTGATTACAATCAACAATAATTCACTGTACATTTAAAAAGAACTAAAAATATATATATATATATATTTTGTAAATGTGATTCCTTTCCCCCTTGTAATCTCCATAGTATTTGATTGGGCAATTCTCATCAGGGATTTCATATAATTATTTGCACACTTACTGTTTCACTCCTATAAACTCTCTGGGGCAGTAACCATCAAATACTCATCTTTGTAGTCTTCATGATTCCTAGCTAGAGTCTGGTACATTTTTCAAAGAGCTCTCAGATATGATATGAAATTTCATCCTCATAATAATCACAATAGAGAGTCACTATTATCTTGTTTCATTTCATTTTGCTCTGTTTTATACTCCATAACCAAAAAAATGTGCTTCACATTCCCATAAACCTGTGTCACAGAATTAAAATTCATCCCAGTTCTTTCTTCTCTAAGTCCATACTTTTTCTACCGCACTATGATTCTGCCCAATTCTGTCTTGTTATCTATAAATCTTAGTAAATAGAAATCATTTCATCATTCTAATCACTTATCAGAGCAGTAAATAACTATAGGGCACTATTTACCCTGCCTAAAAATGAAATGATTAGTAAGAATATTCTAGGTGCCACCTAGAACTTGTCAGCCCCTAACTGTGGATTCCTGGATTATAGCACAATAAGACACATAGAAAAGAATTATATCTTTTGAAAAGGTAAAACTGATTTAAACTACTTTTTCTTTCCGTCTATCAGCTCTATGACCTGTCAAATCCCAGGTCTTTGCCACTCTGGCTGAATGTCTCCTTTGCTCTGCACCACTCTGTGTGATACCTGCTCTTTTTTCTGGTTCACATATTTCATAAAAATAAACGAACTTTTTAAAACACAAAAAGTGCATTTGCTTTTTGGTGCCATCTCTTCTCAGCTTCTTTCTTCCTGTTGAAAAAGTGGCAATATTTTTCTTTTTTTCCTCCTTTGGTCCTCAAGTACTAGCATTGCATTTTTCTCTTGCCCTTTGTGACTTAGGCAAGATTCATTTTATTTCTCGTTTTTATTTTCTTGCCTTACGAAAAAAAGATGATTTGATGACTTTCTCTACTCAAAGATGTGTTGGGTCAGGCAGAGAAGGAGCACATTCAGTTTTGGTGTAGTACCTTGCTTAAACACCTTAATTTTTCTCAGCTACCCCATCCCAATCAATTGTGAAGGGCACATTTATCCAGAAGCTTGTTTTATCATGTCCTGGGGGAATATATAGGAAAGCTCTTAATTTACATGGTTCTTTTAAATCCTTCTAATACAAGAGTTATATCCTATACTATTGAACAGTTCTTTGTTAGAATTAATGCTCCTTATTTTATCCATGTTTTAGTTTTTCTCTTCCCTGTAATGGTGGTTGCTATGTCTCATGGCCGTGTTGCCTAAGTTTACTTTCTTTTCTTTTCTTTTTTTTTTTTCTTTCTGAGACAGGGTCTTTATCTGTCACCCAGGCTGGAGTGCAGTGGCACAATCATTGCTCACTGTACCCTTGACCTCCTGGGCTCAAGCGATCCTCCTCCCACCTCAGCCTTCCAAGTAGCTGGGACTATAGGTGCACACAACCACGCCTGGCTAATGTTTTGCAGTTTTTGTAGGGATGGGGTGTGGCCATGTTGCCCAGGCTGCTCTTGAACTCCTAGACTCAAGTGATCCACCCACCTCAACTTCCCAAACTGCTAGGATTACAGGTGTGAGCCACCATGCCCAGCCCTAAGTTTACTTTCTACAATTGGAATTTCAAATGATTTTTCTTCATTTGAAAGCACAAAATCAAGGAGATCATCCTCCACTTTCTACAGCACAAATCTACTGCTCAAACAGGCATGGAAGGTGTTAATTATAAGGAACTGACCATATGGAATTTCTAAAGGAGATAATGTAGTTTTTGCCATGATTAGTAGTTAGTAGTTGATACTATTTAGCACAGTGACTAGTACATACCCATTTTTTGAATAAGTAGATCTGTCATGCTTCAAGAAAATTGTGCCCCATTTCCATGTGTTCAGGAATTTTCTAATAAGTCTCTACCACAAGCGATCCCATGTTGATTTATTTTTATATTTAGAAAACTACATTTTTATCTCAATCTTTCCTCACTTTTTCCCCTAATCTTAATAATCTTTTCTCAGAGGTGGGGGGAGCTCACTCTTTTCTCAAAGAGAAGCAGATGGTCTACCCTTCACATCTCCACTTGGATCCTAGGTTATATTGAAAACTTTGACCCTAGGTTAACGAAATGACTTTGCCTTCCTGTGCACCTGCATTGGGTGTGGTGTGGCAATATCCATTCCCATTTAGCATAGTCACTGATGCATACACATTTGTTGGATAAGTAGATATTATTTCTGGCATCATATTTCTGAATAACAATAAACAATTCCACTCATTCTTCTGGGAGACTGAACAAAGATAGATACTTCAAGTCCATGAACTTATATTAAATCTCAGGGAACCTTGCTAGGCCTTTTGGAGCAGGAAAAGATTAAGAGGCCCAGCCCTCCTGGGGTTCAACCACAGAAACCGACTACAAGGCAGATTACAAAGCTGCATTAGCCTTTGATACATTAGCTATTTGTACTGGGACACAACAGAAAGGCCTTGCCTAGGGGTCTTTCTTCTCCAAATTGATGGAAAACTGTTTTATTGGAATTTCTATTTTTCAGAATGGTTTTTCTCCTTTTTAAGTCAGGATGATAAGATTTGGTATACAGGCTTTATATTAAAGCAAGAATAGAAATTTCTGAAGCTAGAGTCAATTAATTATCAGTAATTTAACCATCCTTCAGACAGAATGGTGCTTTATGTCATAAACTTACAAAGACCCCAGACCATTTCTGGCACTCGATAAGATTTTAACATTTACCATTATGTTCATTTTCATTTGGTTAGTACACCTCTGCTCTGACTTATGATGGAGTCCTTGTGATGGCTGAAACTTTCCGAAGTCTTAGGAGGCAGAAAATTGATATCTCAAGGAGAGGAAATGCTGGGGATTGTCTGGCAAATCCTGCTGCTCCATGGGGCCAGGGAATTGACATGGAGAGGACACTCAAACAGGTAACTCACAATTTTATTTAAGTTCAATTCATTTCATGGTCTTGTTTTAACTGAATGTTCAAAAAACAGACTAATTTATCCAAGCACAAATACATATTACAATTGCTACTTAAATATATCAAGCCATCATTTTTGGAACATTTCTACATAAAATACAAGGTAGAATCTTGCTGTTTACATTTTATGTGGATGCATAATCAGGATAAGCTAGGTTATGTTGCAGTAATAAAAAACCCAAATCACAGTGACTCAAAACAACAAAGGAGCTTTGCTTATTCAGACACACGTTAGATTAGCAGGGGCTCTTGGCTAATTGTAATCACTCGAGGACGTAGGCTTGCAGAGCAGTTACCATCTTGAATTCTGCAAAGGGAAATGGATAGTTGGGGGCAGGTTTCAAATTGGCAATTAAATTCTGTGGCTTGATAATATCACCTGTCCTGCCTATTTACAACTCATATGTCAGAAAGAGTCTCATGGGCCTAGCTAACCACAAGGGGTTCAGGAAGTATAAGCCCACTTGGGTCCTGGAACATACCAGAACCAGAAATAATGACTACCTCTGGAGATCTTTAAATTGCTTTGTAACTTTGGATTAAGTAGTTTATTTTAGTCTTTTATAATTATACTAACACTATTTGTTCAAATAATTAAGGTAATATATACATATTTAATGTTACATTTTAAATGTTCTGAAATGTCACAGGTTCAAAACATAGGTAAAAGCAAATTAAAAGGAAATTTGGAATAAAATATATTTCAATATTTTCAAAAATGTCCTTATACTTTTTGCTTCTTATATCTTAATTTTAATATTAGCAAGGTGAGAATATGATCTGGCATAAGTATCAGGGTTATTTAATCCATTTTGTGGATATATAGATAAAACTGAAAAGTAACCATAAAAAATTGCCATTCCTATAAAAATACTTTACAATTGAGGGAGGATTCTTCGACTAAAAATGGAAACTTTATAATAGTAAAAACAAATAAAACATATTCCTCTTCCAGGGGTATAGCAAAATTGCTTATACATCCCTTTGATATTCCTATTTCAGATGCTATCCCAATAGCTCAAATACCTAATGGCATTTCAGTTAGTTGGTTATAGTTTATAGTTCTACTTTTTTAAGTAGTTATAAGCCCAGCAGATGAAGTTAAAATTCCTATAAGTGAAATTGCAAGTGAACACGTGTGGTTTTCTTTTTCACTTAGGTTCGAATTCAAGGGCTGACAGGGAATGTTCAGTTTGACCACTATGGACGTAGAGTCAATTACACAATGGATGTGTTTGAGCTGAAAAGCACAGGACCTAGAAAGGTGAGCCACGATCAAACTGAAAAACAGAATTCTCTGTTTCTTAGTTTGTATGTAACATTTTAAAGGTGTACAGAAGAAAGATGGCTGAACATTTCCTTTTTTTGTGAGTACTTACAAATACTTTAGTACTTTCTTTATAATCAATGCTGTGATAAATGTGTGTGTCATGTAATTGTATTTAGTAGTGTGCCCAAGCTGAAACAAACTAATTTATACACTGTTTATATCTCTTATCCAAAATGGATGCAATATTTTGGGTGGGGTTAGCAAAAAGAATCCCACAAAACAAAATTGGCTCTGCAGAAGAGAACACGAAGCAGTAAAGAGACATAAGCACCTCAAGGTAGTCATTTATGAAATTATTAGAGCAAGTACAAACAAACTACTTCTAATGGGTGAACATATTTAGAATAGGCTGGGTGTTCTTGAAGTAATCAACTAGATAAATTTCAATGACCAAAAGAGAAAGAAGATGGATGGTAAGATTATTATTAGGCTGAGAGGGAGAGAAACATCTAAGTTGTTCAGGAAGGTGCTGGTGCTAGGTTCCTGGATTTGGGAAGATAATTATCTAGTGGTAAGATGTGAATAGGTATAGGAGCGGTCTTCCCAGCATTCAAGTACTTTATACAGTGCAACCATACAGCCCCACCACAGTAATTGGTTATAAGTGTTTTGTAGCTAACTCATGTAATTTTTAACATTCCTTTTATCTAGGAACTAGGATGTTCAGGGAAACAGATATTCAAGTTAACCTTATCTAAAAGCTGTATTTGGCTGTTTAAAAAAAAAATTTCCAAAATATATTTTCATGTTTTTATGTAATGATAACTGCAATTTATGAAATGCCTGCTGTGTCCTAAGCACTGGACTTGGTGCTTTGCATGATTCCATCCTCATGACAAACCTATAATTTGAGTAGTAGTATTTCTCTTTTTTTCAAATGAGAAAATTATGGCCCAATAAGTTATCTTATCCAAAGCCTGTAAGTGAGAAAACATATTTTACTCTTAGTATTTTCTCCCTTACTGATCTACATAGGAAGAGATGATTTCCTGCTGGAGGAAAACAAAGAAAGGAAGGCTGCATGGAGGAGGTGGGATTTAAAATTGCCAGGATGTTAGAGTTTGGATAGGATGAAATGGAAGGGGCAACAACCGAAGAAAGGCTTGGAGGCAGGACCATTAAAGTTAAGGTGATATATGGAAAATGGCAAAGGCTTTCCCAGTTGCGTTTTGCTTCAGTCTACAATATGGGTGTGCTTCTGTATCTGTGAGAAGTTTGGAGCTGCCGTGAAAACCATCTCTAGATTTCCATCTTCTTAATGGCATAGCCCTCGTGCAGGCTGCCAGCTAATACGTGGTAAGCTGGAGCCTACCTGATCCAGATCAGGAGTGGCAGGAGATGGATGGCAGCCGGGGGGCCCAGCTGCACCTCACAGCAGGCTCTTCTAAGGAGATTGACTGAAGCAAGGGAAGGAGATGTTAAGAACAGCCCACTCTACCAGCACACAGCCAGCAACAAAAAAGAGGCAAGTTTTCATTAGAGATCCTCTGCTAGCTGGGGAGCAGATAGGATATTCCACAGGCCCCTAAAAATGTTAACAGGTGGACAATGCTAAATGCTAACAGATGGACAAAGGTAAGACTGGCTCACCTCCTTGCCACACACCAGACCTTGCAAAATTTGCCATTTAAACAGAATATTTTAAAACGCAAATGACAATTACTTATTTTACAAAACTATAAGTGCAGAACATCAAATCATTCTCTATAAGAGAAAGAATAGTGGAAAAAGAAAGCTGGTGCTAACTAGCAGTAATATGAAGTGGGCTATTCATAGTACTGAATCTTTTCATAGCCTATTGAACCATGATGGTAACAAAAATTAAGACTTTTCAAAGAGAAACTTAAGGAGTAAGTTGGGAGAGTGATGAACAGTGCATCTTCACACCCAGCTGACACTCATCTAAGGCTCTTAAAAGAAATATGAAGTATAAAATGGTGTAGACTCATCTATCTTCTTTTTTCCATGGCAACGATCAACTCGGGCATTGTGTCAGGAATATTAAACTTAAAAATGAGCTACCATGAGAGACACTATGCTGGTGAAACTAGGCAATGTGTCTGAGAAGTGAGCAATCATTCTTGTAAATTGAACACTTGCCAGCAAGGGAGCTATCTTTGAAAACAGATCAGAGAGTCAACCCATCAGTTTGTCTGACTTCTGCAACAGGAAAACTGATAGAGAGTCTCATTAAGCAGAAGCCACAAAGCTCTTTCTGAAGTCCCAGCTGCTAAGTACAGCAGAATCTTCTTATCACTCCAGTGACCCCCATCCAGGGCTCCAGAGGGAATGCTCCAGAGCTGCATGGTTTCAGAAATCTTTAATTGTAAAAATTTCATGTATTGAGAGCACATTATATGCCACACACTGTAATGGAAAATTGATGTGCATTTTTATATTCAATCCTCATGACAACCTAAAAATAAGATATATATTTTTTTCTCCTTTTATCGAAAAGTAAGGTTCAAAGAAACTAAGTAACCTGCTCAGAGATGCTCAGCTAGAAAGAGGTGGAGCTGCAGTAGAAACCAAAATTCCTGCAGCTCAAACCAAAATTCCTGAAGCTCTAGAGCATCACTCAAGATCTTGACTCAGGTTTCAAGATCTTGAAACATCATCAGTCCCACTGCCTATAAGGGTTTAGGGCTGGTGTGGGAATTAGGTCAGATTTTTCAGGGCAGGTCTGATCAAAGCAGCTCTCCAAGGAACCAACTTTGAGTAGAACAGGAGCTCCTCACAGCCGCTCAGTCCCTATCTGTTCTCTATGTTCTAGGCCAAGATCATCCTAAATACAGACACATTTTCTCACATATCTTAGTATAGTTACATTTGCATACAAATCACCTTTAGGAGTCCAAAGAAGGTGAATATTTTTCTGACATCCCTTATCAATTTAGTGATTTAAATGCTTCCATATTTTTGCTCTAGCATTACAAAACCACTTTTCACTCACTTTTTGTCTATAGGAAAAATATCCATTTCCCTGTCTAATTAAATGAAATCAGTCATGGGAAAAGTTCTTAATAAAATGCAAAACGCTGTGAAGACTAGAGAGAGAAATTCCATCTTCTGTGAGGTCTGGGTCCAAACTTTAGGATTCCTTTCTTTAGGAACTGACCCCTCATGTGGACTTACTTCTAAATAAGCCCATGGTCCACATGAAATCTACCATTAATTGGTCCCATATCACAAAATATGACTTTCTCTTTTTTTTTTTTTAACCAGAATTGCATATAGGTATAAGGCCAAAAAAAAAAATAAAGTTTGCTTATTATTTTAATTTGCCAGCACTTCTGAATCATTTATCTTTAAAAGGAGAATAACTGCAAACCCATGGTTTAGTTTTTAAATGCAAAATGTCAAGGTCTTGCCAATATCTAGGTACTCTCCAAAAATGTATCCCAGATCTGTGATTCTCTCTGTTGTGGAACTCATTAATAAAGAAAAATTGTCTTTCCTGAAAATTGGCTGATGAGATCTTCAGGGTGGGTGCATTTTAATGGAGTGCTAAACTGTAAAACCCCTTTTCATGTCATATAACTGTCATGTGGAAAGCAGAGTTAACAAGAATCAACTGACTTAAGTACACATAAGAATTGAGGAGAGGGTGGGTCTCAAATATATACTTGTTTTAAATTAAAAATTTCACATAATTATTAATAAATGTCAATCAGAGATTGATTCACAGGGACTATTGAAAAAACTTGCTGAACTTATAATTTTGGATCAAACCAAGAAGTGTAGCAAGCCGTATTAATAAAAAGTCTTTTTCTCCATCTGTTTTGTTATTGAATTATATATGCAACACTTGTGAATAATCTAGTGCCTCTTTCTGACACGTTAATGCTTACTCTATTTAAATATGCTCATAAATACTAACATGGCAGTTGAGAAACTTGAATTAGGCAAGTGAGACTTCCAAAACATATTAGAACAAATAGTGAATACAGACCAGTGAGCAAATGCATACATTTTATTGGAGACATGAGTTTTATCAACTGAATCAAGAAATTCAAGAAAGAAGTTTGTCACGCATTAAATGAACACCCATTTTAGAAGGTCGCATAGCATAATAGCAAAGCATGTAGACTTGGTGTCATATAGACCTGAGTTTTGAATTCAGGCCCTACTAAAGTGTAACTTTGTGTAATTTATTTAGCCTTCTAAAATGAATCCTCATCTCTAAAATGTGGACAATAACTGCCCCTACTCCATACTGGGTATGTGTATTAACTTTAAGACGTATACTTTTAAAAAGCATTGAGTACATTGTCTGCCTCAGAGCAAGCACTCAATATGTAGTAGCCATTATTATTGCTTAATGGTCTGCAAAAAACAAAGAATCCTAAATTTCCATTAAGATCCCATTGTAGCTTACTACTTTGCAGAGTCCTTAAGTAATTACTTAATTCATTTTTAGGAAAAAGTGTTTGACTTCTAAATAAAAAAAATTTTAAATGAAAAACATACAAATTTAAATGTAATATTTGAAAGCGAAAACACTGACCACTAATATTCATCTCTGATGTAGTTAGCATTTCAAAAAATGGTAAGATTGTTACCTAGTGGCTAGGTTATATCAAACCCAAAACCACTCCTGTTTTGCTTTAAAAATATACAAGTTTCTTTTGCTTGAAAATATTCTGTACATGTTCTTCTTAGAAATCTGGCTATTCCCTTTACTATACAACCTGTAACTTTATTGATAAAGCCACACAAATTAATTTAGGGGGCACCAGTCTATCTCACTAGAGGAGGGGATCTGCATAAAATAATGCACCGTGCTCATATTCCTTTTGGAATCACCATTCCCAATCTCTTGGTCACTCCACTATTGTAAACAGTAAATTTGCCAAACATGTAACAAGACAGGATCCTTAATACCAGGAAAACTGACTCATGAGCAAGTAAGAACACTTCTGAACACTTTTTTTTTTTCTGTTGGCTTTTGTTTTGTTTGCTTACATTTGTTTTGTTTGCTTACCTATTCATACCCTTCATTTTTCTAAGAAGAACTAGAGTAAATGCTTCTAAAATATGTTTTCAAGCATGTTCTCTATTTGGCAGGTTGGTTACTGGAATGATATGGATAAGTTAGTCTTGATTCAAGATGTACCAACTCTTGGCAATGACACAGCTGCTATTGAGAACAGAACAGTGGTTGTAACCACAATTATGGTAAGTGTTGGTCTATGCTTTATGGTGTTCCGTTTTGTCCACAGGCAATTTTAACTCCCCAGCGACGGTGAACAGGGAGGGCAAAGCTGACTGTTAGCAATGGTGACATGGGTGTTCTGATCCACAAAATCCTATTGAGGCTTTGAATAGGTTCATCCTAAGCTTCGAGTTCATATAGTACTTTTATTTGTATTATCTTTTGTCACATTGTTGTTCTTGGAAAAATGCTCAGATGTTAAAAATTGAGACTGTCAAACTCTAGTTGGAAATGTATGAAATGCTAAGACCCTAAAGCACAAAACAGTGAACATGCCAAAGGTCAACCACCAATCACATAAATATATCCAGTAGTAAACATATTATTATTGTTACTATGTTTTTAAAAAGTCAATGTAATAATAATTAATAGTGTTTAAAATTATAATTTTCAGGTAGTTCAATCATCGGATAATGATTTGTATTGTCTGTTTACAATAGTGAAGATGTGACTGTGAAGATTTTAATGAGCATGATTTATATAACTAAATGATTTAGGAATTAATTTTGTTTTATTTTTATTTTGAATGAGAAAAGGGTTTTCTTCCACCGATTATTTTTCTCATTAACCAGTGAGAAGTACACATTATAGTTTATTGAACTTCTAAAAATTAAGAAGAATACGATTGCTTCATTTGGCCACATCAAAAAATGAAAAATCCTCTAAATTTTAAGGCTGCTTTTTCAAAGAGATTCTCATGAAATTACCTTTTAAATAATAGAATATCTTATATATTTTTCTCTTCTAAAGTCAAACATGCCCTTTAAAGTCAATGCTAGTCAAAAGAGATCAACAATCGGTGACCTTTTCTATCTCATTTAAAGTTATATATACTCAGCTCACGTCTCTTTAGGCAAAACATATTTTAAATCTTTATGGAAACCTTACTCTAAATACAATGGAAGTATTTTATGTAATTTAGTTTTTAGCTTTTGTCATTTTAGTTTCAGGTTTTTAGTAATGTTGAGTTGTTCCCAAAAGTGATATTAAGGTTAAAGCATGAAAATGCCAGAGAGAAGCCTTCATATGTTGTACTTAGTTTTAACTGTGTTGCATCACCAGTCAGTAATTTAATGTAATCTGACAAGCCTTCAGCAGAAGTTTATGATTTTAGAATGCAAACCAACCAACAGCAGTTTTTGCGTAAACTTTCTAACTTAATTGTGTAATATTTGCATGGGACTTGAAAAGCAATATATATATATATATATATATATATATATATATGTTTCTTTTCCTAAAAAAGACACAGTAATGGAAAGTCATACTTCAGTACAGTCCTCCTCTTTTCAGCCTCTGATGAAGAATCCTATTTTAAGAAATTGATCAAGAAAGAAAAGAGTTCCGCGCTGTTCGACCATTCCTAACTAAGGCTCAAGTCTTGTTCTCCAGTGTAGTAAATTTAAGCTTATTTTTCATGTGGGATTCTTCTTGGATGACCAACTCTGGACTACCAGAAAAAAAAAATTTTAAGTTCTGTGACTTTTCTGAGATACTAGAACAAAAGAAGAATTAATCTTCATCTTTCTCAAGAAATAGATGTTGACAAAGAATCACTTAGCGATTCTGACATATCAATTCCCCTATCTTGAAATGAGGTCACTGTATGTAAATGATGGAATTATATCACTCCATTTCCAAGGGTAGATTTTCTATAAGTAAATATCTCGGAATTTGTGTGCTTGTTTTCTGAATATATACAGTTGTTTTCTTTAAAGATCTCTTGGAATTTTGCCTGTTCTGTGTGAAATAAAGTGTTTTAATGTGCATTATAGGTATGATATAGAGAATCTCCTTTCCATCCTTGTTACTAAAGGGACTGGACAAATAAATCTTAAAACCAAAATACTGAATTAATTTTGCAAGCATGGCTAGTTTTTAGGAAGCATGCTATCAAAAAAAAAAAGACTAAAAATGACTGAAAAAATCCAACTGTTTTATATATATATAAATATATATATATTTATATATATATATAAAGGATATTCTGTAAAGTTATATGTTGTTTGACAGTAAAGCCATCAATATTTTTGCTATCAAAATAGTATAATACTAGTATCTTTTTGTATGAAAATGTAATCTTTATATAAATAATACCTCTGATATTTGCAACTGCATAATCGTTCAGTAATTCAAAAAGACATACTAGAATCCTTTTTCTGAAAGTGTTCCTTCAATTTGCTTTTGTTGAAAACGGTAGTCCAGGACCTATGATATCCCTCCACTTCATTCATTATGAAAGAAATCCCTTGTAGATAAACAAGATATTGGCATCTGCATGTAATTATCCCCAGATTCAGCTGAAAACTCCCAACACAGATGGAATTGGCTAGACATTTTAATATATGTGATACCTATATCTAGATATAGAAGGCTGAGAGTGAGCACTGGATATAATTCATTTTGATTGAAATTGATATGGTGTTATTGTTCTTCCAGTTGTCTGTCCTTTGTGTATGTTCTTATTTATATGTTGATACACTGTAACACTATATGCTATTGCTAAATAAAATTGATTGAGAAATTCAGTTATTCATAAATATTTATTGAGCGTCTGCTATGTGCTAGGCACAGTTCTAGGCCCTGGGGATATGTCACAGACAAAAATCCTGCACTCAATGAAACTTATAGTATATTGAGAGAAAGCAGACCAGAAACATAATTAAGAATTATATTAGCTATCTTTATTAAATATAATGTAGTGTTAGCTTTTATGGCTGTTGAAAGTTATTTTTTCTTGTAACAGTGTTGTATATCTACAATGTGATTTTCATTTTAATAATGAATTTATTCTACCTGAATATAATCATACTGAATATACCACAGCAAAATCTAATAGAAAATAAAATTAATATCATCATTTTTATCTTTAAGTCTTGTTGACTAAAAATGTTATAAAATCAATAAAATTTATAAGACTGTGACCATATTGATTTAACTTTTTGTATTAAAAGTAATCATTTCTGCAAATAACCCAAAGAAGCCAAATCTATTCCATGTGGTTTGGATAAATACAGCAATTGAGGGAAAAGCAGTTTACAGTAGATCTTGGGAGAAGGGAGGGTGCTGTTTTCCTCTGTAATCTAACTACTTTCTTGGCTATTGAACTCTCTGGAAAAGGGGAGATAATACAGTGATGTTTCAGACAAGCTCCTTTTTTCCCCAAAGCTTTACTACCGAAGTTAAGGGATGCTTATGATGCATTGCTCAACTACAAAGATTTTCTTACCATCTCATGAACACAACAATCCTTTAGGCAAATTTTCCATAAAACTAAATTTATTCACTCCAGTATCAGAATTATGTTACAAACCTAAAAGCAATTACCCTTATCACACATGATCTTTCCAGAGGTTATTTTTTGTACTTTTTATAAGATGTTTGATATTTTTTCTTCTCTATGTAAAATTCTGTAGATGCACTATACATATATATGTGCATTATAATAACATACACATGCATATTTATATAAAATGTATTATATATATATACAGACATACATACAGAAAATTAAAATGTATTTTCTTCCTTATACAAAATATTAATTTTCCTATTTCACATCACTCACTGAAGAGCTTATAAATCAGTTAGTTTTTAAATAATTTTGGCTAAATTTAAATTTTTTCAGCCATTAGATTTACTAATTTTTTTTCTGAATTGAATAATAATATCTTAATTTTCACTTTTAAGAATTTTATCCATGGGATAAATTATCTACATCCATTAAGATTTTTTGGAGAAAACCAAATATCCACATAGGAAACAACATTGGTTAACACTGATCTCATTATTTTATCAACTTTCAATAGTAATTGTAATAATTATATTTGTAATGTTTAGAAAATTTTGAAGCCTTTCTAATAAATATTTTGTTTCGATAGTTCCACTTTTGCTAAATGCAAATAATCCAGAAAAATCTCCTTGGTAGGAAAATTATATTTTATTGATTAAAAATCATCATAATTAATTTACATAAATACTTTCATAAACAAGCCCTAATGTAGCAGCTTTAAACAGAGAGTGATTTATCTCCTGAAAAGCAGAGCAGATGTAGAACCCCATTCATTAGAGAAGCTATCTTAATATACAACTCATATTCACTAAGAAGTAATACATTTTAAATAACTTTTAAGAAATTACTGTCCTGCAAAGCACAGTAGTTGATAATAATCATGGCAGGTTGTATACATAAGACAGAAAAAAGAGGTTACTCTATCCTTCTGATCATTCCATTTTTATTCAAAATTGAACACTTGGGAATTCATAAGGCTGTTTTACAAAGATACCCCACAAATCCTCCTTAATGATTTTCTGGAATTTATTATATTGAAAAGATTTTGTATTTTCTTCCCCCATAGTAGCCCCCTACCTTTGTATTAACTCTAATATGAAGTGTTTGAAGAGCTACTTGCAGACAACTTGCCAGATTGAGCATGGGGGAAATGAGGAGGTTGGGCGAATGTTGAGTATTTGCTACTCTTTTGGACTTGACATGAAAGGAAAGCAAAGCAAAATGAAACACAGTCAAAGAAACAGCAGAGCTGAGCAACCATGGGAGACATCGTTCAAGGAAAGCCTAGCCGTTCTCTCCTTTAAACCTCCCCACCTCCCTGGGTGCGATCATGTCATTTCTCTTATGCTGTCTGCATCACTCATCTTGAATCTCAGTAATTGTTTATGCCCCTGGATAGGCAAAAAGTCTAACTGCATTTCTAATCAACATCTGCAGTAAGCTGAAGCCTTTTCTAGTCTTTGTTGGTTTGCTCAGCAGGAAAACAATGACCTGATGGACCCCTGCTGTCCAAAATAAAAAAGAAAGAAAAAACTGAAAAAATGAAAGACATTAGATAAATATTTTCTCAAATAGACATGGGCCTGCTTCAGAAGAGATAACCTAGCGCTTGTTAATATTTACTTTCCTTTAGAAAACCTGAATCAGAATTTCTAATAAAATTACTTTATAAAGATACTATTTAGGAAACACTGATAGGCCAGGATATCTTTGTATTTATTTAGTGCCTTCTATATGCCAGACACTATGAGAATACATTGAAAGGTTTTTATCTACACTGTTTACATAGAAGATCATATGAAGAATTTCATTAAATGAATTTCATAAAAATGCAGAAATGCATTTCTTTAATCTTGTTCCCTAAGTCATATGAAATCTCAATTAATGATATATATTTTGATAAATGCAATAAGCGCTTCAAAATTTTCCAGATATTTCATTAAGTCATATGGAATCTCAATTAATTGCACATATTCTGATAAATGAAATAGCTTCAAAAATTTCCAGATATTTCAAAATGTAGGGTCGGCCAAACTCAGCGGCTCACACCTGTAATTGCAGCACTTTTGGAGGCCGAAGCAAGTGGACCACTTGAGGCCAGGAGTTTGAGACCACCCTGGCCAACATGGTGAAATCCCATCACTACTAAAAATACAAGAATTAACCGGGAGTGGTGGTGTGCGCCTGTAATCCCAGCTACTTGGGAGGCTGAGGCAGGAGAATCGCTTGAACCCGGAAGGCAGAGGTTGCAGTGAGCCGAGATCGCACTACTACACTCCAGCCTGGGTGATAGAGCACAGCTAGACTGTCTCTCAAAAACAAAAACAAAACAAAATATCAAAATACAGGGTCAGTTCCCACCTCTTTCACTTGTTAGTTCTGTGAAATTGAACAACTGGCTTAACCTCCCTGAGTCTTCACTGTCCCATCTGCAAAATGGGAAATGCCTACCTCAATGTGCCAGTGTCAAAAGTAAATGAAAAGACATGAAGAACTTTACATTGTGCCCGATACATAGTAAGCACTAAATAAGTAAGAGCTACCATTGTTTTTCACTGCTATATTTTATTATTGTTCCCCACATCTTATACTCCTTTGCCATTATTACAAAAAAATTATAGTGACTTTGATTGCAAGAGATCAAGGGGCACACTTGACTTATTTTTGTGTCCCTATCACCCAGCAAACTGACTGGCACACAGTAGCTGCTTAATAAATGTTTGATTAAATAACAAATATGTAGTTTTTATTGAAGTAAATTGTTCATTATGTAATGTAGAGGGCATTTAGCAAATTAGATTATAAATACTAGCTAGAGAAACTTGCACACACAAACTAATACAGTAATATATGTACTTGAGTACAAAAATTCATGTGTTCAGATATTGCAGACACTTGTGAATTGACCTTCAACTGTAGTACCAAATGGAGCCTTTGCTATACCCCTTTTGAAAAACTCTCAAACTTGTTACACTTACAGATAGTAGTTGTACAGCCATTTCAATCTGAATTTAAGCATTTTGCATATATGTGGCTCTTGCTTTTTTCTAAGGACGCTTCCATATTTTAAAAAGGTTATTTTAAAAAAAAGAGAAAATATAAGAATTAGCTCCTAATAACTATTAATATTTTATAGCATATTTTAGAAAATAATAATGCTTTGCAACAATTCACCAATTTTATAACCACAATTCACCAATTTTATAACCACATTTGCTAAACTCTTTATATTTTCACAATGTTTTCCATAAACTACTGCATAATTTTCATCTATCTAAAGAAGAGGCAATTGGATGCCTTACTTTTATGTGTGGAAGAACTTTTTACCTGATTCCAGGGTTAGAATATTCATCAAATTAAAAAAAGTGGGAGGTTTCTGGGTCATTTAGCCATGCCAACCTAAGGCAGGATTTAAGAACACAGTAGAAGGACCAATCCTGGATAACTGCCCACTGTAGAATTATTTAGGGCATCTCTATGAGAAAATAAAATGTCCTATAATTCACATGTTTTATTAAATTTTTAAAAGGGGTTCTACATTTATGAAGTACTTAAAAACAAAATCAGAATTAGTGTAGGTTGCCATGTTATTCATGCAAAGTAAATTACCTTCTATTATACAGTTTTAAGAGCAAATTCAACTTCCCCAATTATGAACTTTCTGGGGAAAAAGAAAAGACTTTTATGACAGATTACCAAATAAATGTTACAGTACAATTTTATAAAATATGAATACATTATCTCAATAATGTTGTAGCCAAAGGTGGTCACTCCTTGTCTGCAAATGACTGGAAAAACTCAGATGTGACCAGGGACTCTCTCCATATTATGTGTTCACCAGGTTTATCTTTGGTTGGTGGCTTTAGGTGCCACTTACAAAATCAAGTGCTTTTTGCTAAAATGTCTCTTTAGTGCATGTCTTTTAATGGTTTGGTTTAAGGGTGTGTGTGTGTGTGTGTGTGTGTGTGTGTGTGTGTGTGTAACTGAAAACCGTCCAGTAATTATTAGCCACTGATAAACTTTTTCATTTTATCAGGATTTTCACCATAATTATTCATCAAATTTTCTGTCTCACTTGCTTAGAAAACTAAATGGGAGTATCACCTCAAGTGTATGCTCATTACAACTGGAGGAAAATTATCAGCATCACTAGGGAAATGTTTTATAATATAATTAAATTTCATGGAGCACAAACCATGCTTAAAGCCAAAATACTGGACAACATTAGGAAAGCAGATTTAATGCAAATAACTATTTAAGAATTTTTTAACTATTGATTCATTTTTTCTTTGAATGATAGTGTACCAAGTGCCTGCTCTGAGACAAGCATCTTGCCAAACACTAGAGATCAAAGAAAAATGACGTAACCTTTTTCTTAAAGGAAGTCACAGTTGAATGTGGCTAAATAAGATGCAGAATATGGAAACCTGTGACCTTGAATTAGTCTTTTATGAGGTGAAGCTGACTACTGAATAATCTTTAATTTCATGAAATATTTTAGAAATACTCATTTCATTGCCAAAGAATATAATTTATGCTTCTTTAGATAATTATTAACTGGCACTTCTCCCACCACAGTCATAGTGCTAGGTTTTTAATACTTTCTCAAATGGAAATTTAAAGATTTCAGTTTTAGTATCCAATGCAAAGCAATTTAATCTCTTCTAAGCATACTTATATATTCATCTGTTTTATTATTGACTTCTAGCTACACCAAATCAGTATGTGTACCAATACTAAATACAATCTTTTGTCAAATTCTGAAATTGGAAAGTTACATAAGGTTTTTCAAATGTTTTATAATTTCTCCTTTACAGTTCTACTTCTCTCATTATAGGAATCCCCATATGTTATGTACAAGAAAAATCATGAAATGTTTGAAGGAAATGACAAGTATGAAGGATACTGTGTAGATTTGGCATCTGAAATTGCAAAACATATTGGTATCAAGTATAAAATTGCCATTGTCCCTGATGGAAAATATGGAGCAAGGGATGCAGACACAAAAATCTGGAATGGGATGGTAGGAGAACTTGTTTATGGGGTAAGCAAATCAACTTATTGAAGAATTTACTTACATACACCTGAAACTTCTTTTCCCTTGGGCACATAACAATTTTTAAACGTCTATTATTGTTTAATTTGCAGCAACATTCCAAGAGGCACATACAGTGTTTAAATCTTTCTCTATTTTATTAATAATGCAATCCACAAACAATGAGAAAAACTGACACTTGGTAAGATCAAAATCAGAAAGAAGATAAAAATTCAGAATATACAATCCTAGTTTTTTTAATTGACTTCAGGATCTGGAGTGACTATTCTTTTAAGTTTGATGCTGCCATGTATAGAACTACAAAACAAATATAATAGTAATCTTGTATTTGATAACTGTAGGAACAGGTTTCCTTCAACAATATAAAGATGGTCATTATTTTAGATAGTTATTTGTACCTCCATTGTTTGTAATTACTCATAGATATCTTTTAAGTAATTGGTGAGGCAATCACTATATTACTTTATCCTCTATTAAATATTCATCAATAATGTCAGATTCTCACAATTCTGCTGAACACAGTAAATTTAAACTTTATGCAGTGCCATCATTTTTTATAATAGTATACATAGCAAAACACAAAAGCCAGAATTTATTCCAAAGTGGGCCTCACATGAAAGCATGTTATGCGCCTCCCTTGAGTGTACCTGATATTGAGTGTACACATTCATAGCTGAAGGCAAATACAACATAAATGTTCCTGCCTGAATCAGAGCAATATCAAGATCAATGTCTTCAGCTACCACTGTAAATGTCAAAATCAAACTGGCAATTATCACATGCTAGTGATAGCACAATATTTCAGAAGTCCAGAAACTAAATCTGTAGCTTGTAGGAAACTCTATTCATCGAGTAACCAATGAAGTAACACATACTCGAAATGTAATATGAAATTTCCTAAAAGCCAACTTATATTTCACCTTCAAAATGTAGTCTGATTAATCCTCACAAGACCCCTTGGAAATGGAGAATTACACAGACAGTCATCTTCTTCAGAAAACAATAAAGATAGAAAGATTTAGAACATAACTGAAGTCCTAGGAGGGACTCACTTTCCAAGCCAAAACTTCAATTCAGAAGGCAAAACTGCCTTCTGATAAAAAGGCAGACGATTCTGCATCTTGCCTTTTAGACCATGAAGCAATGAACATTCTTTGTACAGTACAGTAAAGCAGCTAAAACCTATGCAGAATGAGGAAATTGTTAGACATTATGAAGCAATTGGTTAGTTTTATATCCATAGGAAAGAATTGCTGACTGCTTAGGTGACCCTAAATGAGAAAAAAAAATGCAGTTTAAAAAATAGCAAAATGTATTTTACCACAGAGTTCATCGACTGTTTCATATTGAGCTTTAAATTCCAAAGGAAAAGGGTTTCTAAAGCATTTGTTCTTTGGTTAATATTTTAAACTTTTGATACAGTAAGCATAACTTAGATGTTAACAATATCGAAGTTGTTGGAACTACTGTAATTCATTTCCTTTAGAAAACACTCTTACATATTTCATCTCAAAAAATCATACTTGGATTACCAGTTAGTTATGAACAGCATAACTGACGTGAGTTACTTTCTGAGGCATTTGTCATACATCTCTTCTCTGGAGTCCCTACCCACTGGGCAGCCCAGACTCGCTCTTTTGCAAGTGTTCTGACCACATTTCATTCAGGGAAAATTGTTTAAATAATGAAAACAAAGGATATGAAGGGAGTAGCATAATTAGTGAAAAAGTTATGTCAGTCCTATACATGTCACAATAACAAAAAGTCCCAAAGTTATGCAGTTCTCAAAGAGACAAAAGATAACATAATGGTTATTAATATTATATTCATATTCATTCCTCAGCCAGTCTGCAAGTGGTTAAAGACTCCAATCTCTGATGCTTGAGTTGTCCACTCTTTTCCCAAAAGGAATCTTCTTCCAGGTCTCTTACACACTCCACAGTCTAGGTACTTTCCATTTTGGTGTCTGCAAAGTCTATATTGTTTCTCAACGTTTTTTTGTTTGTTTGTTTTCCTACTGCAAACACATACATGAGTGCCTGGTTCCCAGGGCCCTAGGTAAAACTAAATCCATTCTCTTCTATAGAACAAAGTCTATTATATCTAGGTGATTAACTCTGCAAAATTATTAAATTTGGATTCACTATATTTTTTTACTTTACTCCTTGCAAACTTTGTTGCTATAATTGTAATGAACAGATTGTCTGTGAGGCATTTACATGTTATCCAACACACCATGTGTGAGACCCAGAAGCCCAGAACCTCTCTCACACTCAGGTCCTTTTTGCTACCATGCCTGTGCACTAAAGCCAGCTCACCCTGATTTCCTGCAGTGTGCTGCTTCAGGGTCATTTCCTTGGCCTCTACCACACTTGGGTGTGTGTGTGTGTGTGTGTGTGTGTGTGTGTGTGTGTGTGTGTTTTAGTCCAAGGGAATAATTCTCAAAGCACATTCCATGGTCCACTAGCACCAGAATTACCTGTGGAGACATTTTACACACTCAATTTTGGGAATTACTGAGAGGTCATGAAACAATGCACATGCAACATCCCCGATGTTGGCAGAGGAAGCCCATGTGTAACCTATCTCTACTAGTCTCTTTCTAGACTCTCACCTATCTCTAACTTTTTGAAAGTGTCCCTCATTGGACATGGATGTCACCACCTTCATACAACGTTCACTTTCTATGGCACTTAGTTTTCTCTTCAGAAAACACCTGTATTTCTCTTCATGTGTCTTTTTAAGGCTTCTTCCCTCACTAGTGGGAACTTGTGTAAATTAAAAATTTCAGAAGATACCTCACAGAACAATGTAGTATGTGAAAGGAGGCATTTCAAGTAAGTGAAAAGATGTGTTATTTATTTATTCCTGTTGGTACAGGAGGATGACTACTTGGAGAATTAACAATTTTCTAACACTTCATCATGGAAGATACCAAAAAGTGATAGGAGAATTATAGATACTAGAATAAAATACATAATATTGATAGGAAAATGATTTTTCTAGAACATGAAACCAAAGGCTGAAAACACACACAAAAATAATTTTATATGGCTACAACAAAATTTAAAACCTATGTATTGCAAGAAAAGACCTTGAATTAAGTTATGGAAACAAAACAATTGATGATTAGGGAAAAAAATTGCAACATATATGGGAAATAAAAGTGAATATTTTAAATACATTTTAAAGTGCTCACAAATTAGGAAGTAAAAAAATGAATACTCAATATGGAAAAGTGGGGGCAGATTATTACAGTAATACATAAAAGAACAAGTAGCTATTCGTTTTATAATAACAAATTCAAATTAGTACAAGAATATCTAATTTCCTTCCAGAAAATTGGTGAAGACAAGTAAACAGAACTTTTCTGAGGTTTAAAGCTGAACATGCCTTTGCATAGTGCTGGGGATGGTAGAAATTTGCATAATCTTTCTGAAGAAAAGTTGGGCAAAGTACATTATAAGCATTAAAAAGATTATTACTGTTTAGACCAGCCATTCCATTTCTAGAAATTTATCTTAAATAATTAAAGCATGTGTTAGGATTTGTCCTCAAAGATGTTCATAGCTTCACTGTTTTAAATTTTGTAAAGCTGGAAACAATATGAATATCCCTCAAACTTAATAAATGATTGAGTACATTTTGACATTTTTCCAATAAAGCATTTGCAATCATTAAAACTTACTTTTAACTTGTATACTGAAATGGAAAAGTGTTCATTATATTATTTGAGAAGAGAAAAAGAATTGTAAGATATAATGTTCTACATTATTCCTTTTTAAAAGAAATTAAAAATACTCTTCATAGAACAAAGTCTCTCAGAGTATATAGAAAGAAAAAACAAGAGTAGGTGATGGGAAAAGATAACATTTCCTAATGGGCTGGGTCATACTAATAAAATAATTAAAATATACTGATTTTTCTACAGCTAGTTCACATATCACTTATGTAACAAAAACTATATACATAATGATAGCTATGGGGAAAATAATAACCTTCCAGCAATGGTCTGACTCTTGTATATATGGGCTTTTATGATTTGAACAAAGTTTATTCCCTCTTGAAGGCATATGTGGTCAATTCTCAGTCACCCAGGGAGACGTGACTAAAACGTGCCTTCCCCATTCTAACCCCCCAGTTGCCCTTGTAGCAAGCCCTTGGCCACTGTATAGAACCAGGAGCCTGAGGATAGGTAGGAGTCATTGCAAGAGTGGCAGCCTCTATGTAAGAATTTGTATGTCTGAGCATGTTTCTGACTCCATTTTAATATCAAGTATATTCCTTTTAAAATAAACAATCAAAACTCCCTTTTATTTGTAGATCATGCGACAGTTTAGTTTTCACACTACACTTGATTTCATTTGATTTTAGAGGTGGGGTGATTGACACTCTACACCTTATTTCACTTGATTTTAGAGGTGGTGGTGATTTAATAGAAGCAGCCCAGGCTCAAATCCCAGAGCTGCCATGATATGTGAATCTCCCTTCTCTGAATCTCAGTTTCATCATCTAGACAATGATAAACATATGATTCTTATGAGGAGTAAAAGAGAAGCTATTCAAAATATTTAGATCAGCATCAGATCAGCATCAGCCACAGAATCCCTCAATAAATGCTCACTATTACCTTATTAAGGCTTCTAATAAATAATCACAATAACGTTATGAGGTAAACAGGGAAAAAGTATCCTCATTTTATAGCTGTAGAAACAAGCTCAGAAAAATTGCTCAAAATGACAGAACTCTGAAAATGGAGGCTAGTGCCTTATGATTATAATACCTGAGAAATGAATCTACTGTTTTTCAAAATCTTTTTTTAAATGAAGATAAAGAAATCAAAATATGTGAATAGCAAGAAATAAATGCCAATTTCCAGATTTTTGTGTGTGTGCTGAATTGGAAAATATCGTCAAACAACGGATTTTCTTTTATCATACAAGCACAGGCTTTATGATCTGTTTACTCATAGCTGGAAAGGAATAAAAAAGAAAAGACTGTTTGAAATTTGCAATTCATAATATTAAGGGATGGCCAAGTAATGAATCAGTGGCAATGCTCCAAATGAAACAGAAAAGGCTGCAACATAGCAGCGTTCCTGGCCAGGAAATTCACAAATTCAGCCATATGGAAAGACTGTCAAGTCTCCTCTGCACTGTCCCAGATCCTTAAAGACTAATACAGTAATTTGAGTTCAAGTTATTTTTGCTTATCCACTCTTACTCTGTTTTCTATCCTTTTATCTAATTACTGGAACATATTAAAATGTTTTGTGCAATTTAAGTAATATCTTATGAAAAAATTATTATTCATGTTTGTGTCTATCACTAGGCTTATACATTGTTGGCACTCCAAAAATAAATGTAGAATAAACGCATGACTGGTTAGCTTTAAATGGATCATTCCAGTGCTAATTGCTTCATGAAATTCATTAACCTATGTGTCTCCATGTGTTTTTTCTCTTATAGAAAGCAGAGATTGCTATTGCCCCTCTGACAATCACTTTGGTACGAGAGGAGGTCATTGACTTTTCTAAGCCCTTCATGAGTTTGGGCATATCTATCATGATCAAAAAGCCTCAGAAATCCAAACCAGGAGTGTTTTCCTTCTTGGATCCTCTGGCCTATGAGATTTGGATGTGCATAGTCTTTGCCTACATTGGTGTCAGCGTGGTCTTATTCCTAGTTAGTAGATTTAGTCCATATGAGTGGCACACAGAAGAGCCAGAGGACGGAAAGGAAGGACCCAGCGACCAGCCTCCCAATGAGTTTGGCATCTTTAACAGCCTCTGGTTTTCCCTGGGTGCTTTTATGCAGCAAGGATGTGACATTTCACCCAGGTTAGTTTCAAATCTCTTAAGTTCTTCACTGATTTCCCAGTAATTCTAAATGTTGTGCAGATTATCTCTCTACATGTTCTTTTCCTGAAGACAGAGGACTATTTGAAACACAGAAAAAGACTTGCAATTCCCAAATAGCAATTTCTTCCAAGTTAGCACAAAATATGGATATATCATAAATATTAACTTTCTCAATAGCAAAGAAACTATGCAATCCATCAGAGCTCTCAAAAATCATTTAGTATTAATATTTCATTCATTGGTTTGACAAATGGAAACTGGAACCTAAATTATAGAACAGGAATTCATTTCCATTTTGTTTCCTTTTAAAAAACAAACACTTTTGCTATTATTGCAATTTTTTCCTACTATTGTTGTTGTTGCTCATTTTCAGAAATTAATGTTGGACTTAATTCTTATCTCACATAGCTTAAGGGAGATACCTGGAACCTGAGTCAAGATAGTAGGTACCAGATATACATTGTTTTATATAGCAATGCATAAATTAGCTAAGCAATAGGCAAAAAGCCAACCATGCAAACACTATGCTAGTTTTATGGAAATGTTTTTCAATATCTGTGGAGTCATGGCTCCCTTCCTTTGGATACCACTAAGATATCATTTAACCATTATATTCACCAAAAATGCAGGCTTCTTTTGCAAGAAAAAATGCCTTACTTTTCTCATAGAGAAAGTAGCTGAAGGTATGAGAAGAAAAGTATTTACTTTAATTGTTGACTATATATTAGCATCACAAATATATGGATTTCTTTCTTTATAGAAATGTATGCTTTCTCAAAAAAGAGGCATTTTGGGCACAATGCAATTTGTGTTTCTTAAGACCTAGGAAAATTATAAATATGTTTAAATTCCAATAACATAGGAATCTGACTTGAAAACTTTCAATTAATGAACTAAAAAGAAATCAAAGTAAGTCAAGCAATGGCTTTTAAAAGCCAGGATTAAGCAAATATTAAGTTAAACCCAATAGGTGTCTCTTTTATAATAGCAAGTATTATAATAAGGGAGTATTTTAACTTTGGAAATGCTATGAAAAATATGAAATCATTCTTCAAGTTTTAAAACAAATGTTTTACAACAATTTGCCCCAGGAATTTTAAGTAGTTTGATGGTTACAATAAGTGAGTTCAATGATGAACATTCTCTGGATTTTTTTACTCACCCCCTTCTCACATTTGCTCTGCACTCACACTCACCCACACATCCTTGATACCAGAGAAAGAGTGAAAAGAGAGAAAATCGTATATGAGTGTGTAAAGATAACTTTGAGACATGGTTCAACCTCCACTTAGCTCAGGAATGGACTATCAAGCAAACAAACAAAAAAAGCCTCAACTATGGTCACTTCGAGACCAATTCTAGACGCTCTTCGGGTCCAATCTCACCTTGGCCTACATCCCATCATCCTGGCAGGGCTCTGACTGAAGGTAAAACAAGTTATTTCCTTTAGTCTCAGAAAGGTATTTACAAACTTGCATCAAATCTAAGACTGCAGTCACTGTTCATAGGTATTGCTAATTTATGTACCACAAACAGAGAAACAATGCTGCCAATTAAACCATGATACTATATTTTATCTCATCAACCATAGGCTGCATCCTAATTTCAGAGATGCTAAGAAATGAGGGCAGGAGAGTATTAATGAATTCAACTAAGTATTCCCCTTGAGCAGCTGAAGAAAAGCTATTAAGTTTTACATTTCTGCCATTTTCTTTAAACAATAAAAAGGAAATGGTTGTCATATTTTCAGTGGCATTTATATATTAAATACACCATAGAAGACATCAGATTATACAGAAATTCAGAATCATTCTTGAGCAGACTCTCAGAAAATAAAACAATACTTGGCAATTGTTATTTTTAAATATGCATGGTGAATTGACGGTATTTCTTTTCTTTCTCTATGTTGGTTAAAGAAAGGAAAATGTGCATTATTTTATCCATGTTTAGATCCCTCTCAGGTCGAATTGTTGGAGGTGTTTGGTGGTTCTTTACACTCATCATTATATCATCTTATACTGCTAACCTCGCTGCTTTCCTGACGGTTGAGCGAATGGTCTCTCCCATAGAAAGTGCAGAAGACCTGGCCAAACAAACAGAAATTGCCTATGGAACACTGGATTCAGGATCAACAAAAGAATTCTTCAGAGTAAGTTAAGGGAAAAACTAAAAATGAAATGTTTATCATTTTGAAATTCAGGCAATTTTTCCAACAATTATACCATGGGCTTTAGCTATTATAAGGTTTACAAACACAATAGTAATAGCTATGTTTAAGGCTAGTACTTCTAACTGGATTTTATAATCACTTTAATTTGCAAAAGGTAATTGACTTATTCATATTGCAAGAGGAACACTCTCTAAGGCATAGTAACAATGAAAAGGTAATTAAAACAACTTTATAACATAATTTATCCAAAACATTCCAATGTTGATAATGCTATGATAATATTGGATCTGGTAAGATTGGATTTATGTCTGCTTTTGGGCTGAGAGCGTAAAAATGAAAACTTGACGTTTGAAGAATACATTCAACTTGCTGCGTTTGAAACACAAAACCTTAATTGCAGATTATACTACTTATATGAGTTATATTATTCTATAACCTATTCTGTAACAATGAACTTCACAGCAACATATTTGCTTTCTCACAAGGTAATAACAGCAAGAACTTTTCCATTCTAGGCCCCTCTCTAGGACATTGTATGGCATTTAGTTTGTGCTGATTTCTCTGCTTTGCAGATAAAAATTTTCCAACTGATATAATTGTATTACATATATGGATACATGTATAATTGCATTATATATATGGATGTAATTGCATTGTATGTCCCTTTGACCTTCCATCGGAACAATAGAGGTTTTTATTTTAGTTTTTTTTAGTGTTTGTTCCATTATGGGGATGAATTTTTTTTATCAAAAAACCCTTTTTCTAGTCTTTTTAAATCCAGAGCTATACATTTGGTAATGTCTGATAACAGATAGGCATTCATTTTGTGACTTCAAAACCCAAAAATTAAAAAGTTCGCCAGAGTGACATTTTTATGAATATCGAACTAGGTAAAAACGAACACATTTTATATTTATGTCAATTGTTTAAACACTAGAATATTTAATAGCATAGAAGACAGAACATATATTTTATTACTTTCTAAGCTTTCATGGGAAAGTAGTAATAGCTCTTTGTTCGTGCCTACATACAGCACTTGAGAGATTACATTTCCATTTTAAATGTATTTATTTATAATCTTCTCACTCAATTCAGCTTAACAATTATAAACAACAAAATGTGCTACTCCTTAGGCCAGCTTTAACTTTTGTATACTTGAATTTCTGTAAGATATTTATCCTTTTTAAAGAAAATTTGATTATAGTATCCTAATATACTTTAGATGTTTACATAATATCATATCAAGAGCAAATCACTCAAAAACTCAAATTCATCCCTGGGCATTGTTTAGAAAAGAAACCAGACAATGAACAATGTACTTGTCAACAATTTGGAGTATTATTAGGTATAATCTAAGATGTATAAGTTAATTACAAAACACTTAATAGATTTTCTTAAAACTGTAAGTAATATTCATGACAGTAGATTTGATTAACAATAGTCTATGGATAAACTTGATTAAACAAACTTTTTTTAACTTACCTAGCACATCCCTATTTCTACAGCTTAATAATAGAAACATTACTACTCTAATGTATTTCAGCATAATTTCAGTACCGTGCTGCCGGTTTATAACTGCTCCCATCCATATAAGTAAGCACGTAAAATTTAACGATTTCGCCTAAAAATTACTATGTATATGCACCAAAATAAAATACAAGTTTGTGCTATCATTTGCACTTTACTGAAAATTGATGACTGATTGTCATTTAAATAAAGACATTATTTGCAGGCTCATCATTCTGCCTTGAGTGATAAAGGGAAGAAGAAATGCTATATTGATTCTGTGAAAATATTTCAAAAGTAACTCACTGTAAAGCTCTTTAGCATTAAGCACACTGAAAATGTGTATATCTAATCTTTATAAAGTTACAAATGCTTAAATTCAAAGAACTGGTGAGGTAGATAAGAGAATATATTAAGAGAAATATAAGAATGGGGAAACCTGCTTCCTAGATTTATAGTCTTCCATACAAACTGTGCAAGCACCATTCCTTGTTTCCTTTCTCTCCAACCCAACTTCAGTTTTTAAATTGGAAGATTTTTATAATATAGGTATCTATTGTTGCAGAACATTCTGAACTCTAATGGGACAAGAAAATAATTTCCCCTGGCAACACGCTTTCAGGAATGCATAAATTTGGGTTCTTTGATAAAAATCTCATTCATTTCCTACCCTGTTTGCTTCCCTCCTCTCCCATACATGTTGACCTGGTTTAAATAAACCATTTGTCTGATGGGCTGAGGAAACCAGAATGTGAAGGGTATTTTTGTACCTGTCAAAATCATTTTCTCATAGGAACACAATAATGGTACATCTATCAGCTCCACTAGGCTGCCTCAGGCAATGACCTATACTCAGTGCTTCAAAAAAATGCCACAGTTATAATCAACTGAAAAAAGAATTAAGCCACAGGGGAAAACTACATCTGAATTCAACTATTGCCTTGGTTTTGCCCCATTATGAAACTTTATATACTTCATGTTTTATGTGCCATGGTGAGCCTAAATATAGAGGCATTTAAAGAGTCTGTACTTGTCACTTAATGCCAGCCTCGCTGTTTTGGTACTTTCACATTATCACACACCTGACTTAAACACAGTGATCTTCATTTCAATGCAGTTTTATCCTGTGCCTGTCTCAGTCATCAGTGAAACTGTGAATGCATAAATGATGTGCATTACTATCTCAGGGTTTATGATATTACCAAATAATGCATTGATGAGCTGTCACTAGAACATCAGTCTTGCCAAGTAAGCTACTAGAAGGGGAAAATAATTCACCGGATAGCAATGTAAACATTAACTATAACACATGACATTTGTACACAGTTTCTATTAGAAGCAGAAATGGTGGAATACTTAATTTAGGGAAAAGTAAAAGGATAGCACATTCTTTTAATTCCAAGAATTGTTTTAAGCAATAAAACAGTGTTTTAGATCAGATAGTTCCCCATGCTTTGAGTTTCACAATAAAGATGAAATAAATCGATCTGAGATTAATTTTCTAATTTCAAACAATAATGACTTCTATCTTTTCACTTCCCACACCACAGTTTTTAAACAGACACTACAGTTGAAGGTTTTAGGGACTTAAATGTTCCTTTATCACTGTACTTGATACAGTGACATTTGATACAGAGACCTACTGGGCTTGCTGGATCTGCAGAAATTTTCTTCATTTTAGCCTGTCTCATCAAATTTATGAATATTTGCTTGTCCTCACTCCTTAGCAATCACTCTCTTGCAGTCACAGATAAGGCACAGGGCTATTACTTCCAGTCCTACGCCCCTTGATTCCCCTTCATCCCATTGTCCTGTGTATATGATCTTATCAGAATCAGATTTTCTAAAGATTAGCATGGTGACAAACCAGGCTAATTTCTTTTTTCAAAAACTTGCTTTTATCTTTCCATTTTATCTGTATTTTTTCATTTCTAGTGTACTAAACCCTCTTATATTTAGCATAGCTACTCTGTGGATTCCTCTTTCTTCCAGATTTTAGAGGGATTAGTTCAACTTATTTTGCATTTAAGGTATACATAATTCAATGTATTTAAACAAATGCAGCAGTAATTTTCCACATACTAATATATAGAAATGGACTATTAAAAAGTAAAAGATACTTTATTCTTTTTAAAAAGATTTATTTGCTTTAATACTATGCTGCATTCTATAGTTAAGTGATCTCTATAAATACCAAACCCTAAAAACACACTTTTTCCATTTTGCTGTGTTAGTTTTGTTTAACTGTCCTATTCCTTTAATAAACCACTTATTTGTAACTGGAAAGTTGCCAAGTAATTAGCATGGTTTTCATATTCTTAATAAATTCCATAAAATAGCTCAATTAAAACAATATTCACACTGATTTTATTTCTTCTGTTTTCTATGTCGTGTACATAGTAAAGTATACAATGTATGTGGAGCTCTATACCTTTTTGGGTGAAACTCTCAAGTCAAGATTTAAATATATTTAAAAAGTAGTTATATGTTTAAAGGAAGTTTACCAGTACTTCTGTAAAAATTAAAATTATCAATATAGATATTGAGGGACAACCTGTATCAAGTGAATCAGAGAGGCAATATTTTTCAGAACTTGTAAAATGAAAGAGTTTGTTCTCTGGAACAGAACTCTATTTTTAGAGATGGAATGAATGAAGCATGGCAACATGGCATTCCTAGTGGATTCTGTACTTGAGGATTTGGAATCCAAGTACTCATCAGTCCTGGAAGGATATAGAATCACTGAAATTTTCTAATATGAGGATTCTGTTGCCAGAAGTATCCTGTCATTGCCTAAATACACACACACACACACACACACACACACACACACACACCAATCTTCATATCATGAGATATTTTTTCAAGTGTTAATAGCATAAAAACATTATAAAAAATACTAAAAGATGTCAATTTCCCACCTTGATATTTATCAACATTTGAATATAAGTTACTGGCCAGGTGTGGTGGCTCACGCCTGAAATCCTAACACTTTGGGAGGCCGAGGCGGTGGATTACCTGAGCTCAGGAGTTCGAGACCAGCCTGGCCAACATGATGAAACCCCGTCTCTACTAAAAAAATACAAAAATTAGCTGGGTGTGGTGGCGGGTTTCTGTAATCACAGGTACTCAGGAGGCTAAGACAGGAGAATTGCTTGAACCTGGGAGGCAGAGGTTGTAGTGAGCCAAGAGCATGCCACTACATTTCAGCCTGGGTGACAGAGCAAGACTCCATCTGCCCCCTCAAAAAAAAAATGAATATAGTTACCATAAAATATCTTTTTCTTTGGTGTTCAAGTTTGCAAATCAGTGATTGTGTGGTTTATTAGTTAGGTTTCTTGATTACTTATTTCCGAACTTATGAAATCAAAAATTTGAATCCCACTTTTATTCATTTATTTCTTTGTCCACCTGAATAATTTGTCTTTGCCCAGGTATTCAAGTTATATGTTGATTAGTAAAGAACTGCCTCTTGTTGAATTCTATATTTTGGTAAACAAAGGAAGCTCAATGTAAATAAATGTACACACTACTCAGCACTGAGCCTCACACAAAGACGTAAGTCTGAATGAGGTCTTCACTTTTTTTTTTTTTGGATTCAGATACAAAATTGCAGCCCCTTGTTATTGAAAACAAATGCAGTTGCACCAGACAAGATTCAGGCTTTTCTTTTCTTTTTTTCTTTTTTTTTAGATGGAGTCTCACTTTGTCACCCAGGCTGGAGTGCAGTGGTATGATCTTGGCTCACTGCAGCCTCTGCCTCCCAGGTCTGAGCAATTCTCATGCCTCAGCCCCCTTAGTAGCTGGGACTACAGGCATGCGCTGCTATGCCCAGCTAATTTTTGTACTTTTAGTAGACACAGGGTTTCACCATGTTGGCCAGGCTGGTCTTGAACTCCTGATCTCACATATTGAACTTTATGATCAGGTGATCCACCTGCCTCAGACTCCCAAAATGTTGGGATTACAGTCTGAGCCACGGCACCTGGCCAGTGCTTTCCTATATTAATAAATATATCTTTTGGAGACATTTCAGTTCACTAAAAATGTGCGAATGAAAAATTTAATGCAAATGCAGATAACAAGAAAAAGGACCTGGGTAAATTAAGTAGTGAGAGTAATGTATTAATAGATAGAGCTCAAGTAGACAGAAGTAATTTACAAATATAAATAAGTTTCTTGGCTGGAGTCAAGGGGATTAGAATGACCAACTCCCTAGAACACAAAATTGGAAAATAGGAATCACTTCTCTTTAAAGTTCAATATATGTTCTATTTGAAAATTTTCTCAGAAAAAGTCTAAAAATGTTTCAATCAACCTAGAGTTTGATTCTTGTGTTAGGGATATTTGGTTTGTAAGCTATACCAGGTTTTGCCTCTTCCTTTGGTGTTCAATTACTGACTTGATATGGACTGTATTTTTGTATATATCTTACTAGAATCATGTACACTAAAATTTGGGGGCATGAAAAAAGATAAAAATAAAATAACAGCCAGACATGGTGGCTCACACCTGTAATCCCAGCACTTTGGGAGGCTGAGGCAGTAGGATTGCTTGAGGTCAAGAGTTTGAGACCAGCCTGAGCAACATAACAAGATCCCATCTTTAAAAAAATTTTTTTTTTAATTAGTTGGACATGGTGGCATGCACCTGTAGTCCAAGCTATGCAGGAGGCTGAGGCGGGAGGATCTCTTGAGCCCAGGAGTTGTGGGTTACAGTGAGCTATGATCATGTCACTGCACTCCAGTCTGGGCAACTCAGGAAGACCCTGTCTCCAAAAAACTCTAAAAAAAAATAAAATAAAACAACCCTCCTTGTTTGTTATAAATAAAATACAGTATTAAAAGGAATTTTACAAACTTGAAATAAAATCTTAGCTTTTTTTAAGTTTACCATGAATGTGATATAAAACATGATTTTAAATGTTCAAGTCTCTTCATGGCAGTCTACATAGAAAAAAACAGTAATAGATTACTATTTAAGCAGGTGAGTGTGGTAACTGTTATGGTAAGAGGTTTGGGCTTCTTCAGATATCACTTTTAAATGTCTATCATTTCCATGATTTCCTTAAACAGTGTTAAAAGGCAGTTTTCCTATTTGAAAATAATAATATTACTATTATGTTACTCTGTGGCAAATTGGAGTTAGAGAGCAATGGAAAGATACTAAAACGCTTTATTCTTATCTTGGTTCAGCGAATATTAACATGTTGTTCCCTTCTTTCCTGTATTTAATTTTATTTTAATTTCCTCCAGAGATCAAAAATAGCAGTGTATGAAAAGATGTGGACCTACATGCGATCAGCAGAGCCATCAGTATTCACTAGGACTACAGCTGAGGGAGTAGCTCGTGTCCGCAAATCCAAGGGCAAATTTGCCTTTCTCCTGGAGTCCACTATGAATGAATACATTGAGCAGCGAAAGCCATGTGACACGATGAAAGTGGGAGGAAATCTGGATTCCAAAGGCTATGGAGTAGCAACGCCCAAGGGTTCCTCATTAAGGTGGGTGGAATAGTATAACAATATAACATGTGTTGTTATAGTATTCCACCTTCCCTGATGTGCCTGAGAGAATTATTTTGTTTTGTGTGTGAACATGGTATGTTTGTTTGTTTGTTTTCTTTTTCTCCATTTCATATATTTTGGTCAACAATCAGGTAATTTTTTTTAATTTTGGAATGATTAATCCTTGTTGACATATATCTTTGAAGGCCATATAAAAACCAAACTGGTTGAACACTAGCTGCTTCCAGTGGGCCTAAGGCATGGGTAGCATATGCTTCTTTATATCTCATCAAATTTTTTTGGCCACCAATATCTACACTACCATCATGTCAGTGATAATTCTACATTTTATCATTTTTTTTTAATTATGCCTGGCCACTAGTCTCTGAGTAAGAAGAAATTAACCTTTTTCTAGCAAACCACTTTTTTTCCATTTCAATATTTTATTTATTATGGCATCTTTCTATTGGAGATTATCTTGAGGTTGTATTCATGCTAAGTTTGAAATAACATCTATTTATAAAAGCAATCACAGTCAGAGGAAAAAATGAGCTCTGGTTTTATAGTGCTTACTCAAGTCACACTCCTGCCTATTTTAAAGGGAGTGTGGTGTAAGTAAGATCTGTAAAATTAGACCCAATGGCAATCCAAAAATGCTTACAGATAGACCCCTGAAATGTGGTTAATGAGCAAACCATTACATGTGTGGATTAAGTGAGACTTTCATTCTTATGGAAATATTGGTTAAATCTGCCCTTTTCATCCTTTTGGTCCTGGACATAGAAAATTCACATGTTTATGTCCAGGAGGCAGAATTTCCTCTTTTCCTTAAGCAATAAAGGCTGCTGTTGAATTGATGGGGCTGGATCCCATCAAAAGTGATGATCGACAAATTACTCTGGTCTCAGTGCTGCTTAGGAGAAATGTATACAAAGCACAGATTCAAGAGGAAATCAGAATCTTTGCCAAAGGACTTAACCAAGAACCTGATCTTAAAAAGTGATGCCTCTGGTAAGCCATTGAAAAGTGAAGGTAATGAGACCTGTACTATTGCCTAGTACAAATGAAAGCAATATAAATATTATACTTGTTTTCATTGGTTTCAAAAGGGTAACTGCAATGTGCTTTGATATGTGTGTTGGTTTGGGAAGGGTTGAGAGAGATATAAGAAACAAACACCAGTAATGGAAAAGGTTGTGTTAAACCAATATATTGTGTTTGCAAGCAACAGTGTAATAATTAGTGAGGGGTTTTATAGTATGTCACAAAAAGTACAGCATTAAAAAGAGGTAAAACAAAACTAGCCAGTAAAGACAAATTTGGTTATGGACTGTGGCAATTCTGAAGTCAGACTTATTAACATACATTCCATATGAAATTGAAGAAATGTGCAGGGAGAAAGCCAAACAAATAAATTATCCATAATATATTCTACCCAAAAACAATTTCAACTATTCAGAAACTTAAACTGGCATCAGGTTGTTTCATCTTTGAGGGTTTATTTTGTGTGATGCAATATGAAGAATATATAATTTCAATGAGGCCAAGTAGTAAATAAATCTCTGTTGAAGGCGTGGTTTTTGAGAGCACCTTAGCGTAAATAATTTTTTAAAAATAGGAGGGAAAAATGCAATGGTGATTGATATGTAGATCAGTGTTCAGACTATTGATTACATTCACTGGATGTCTCTCTTGCACTTAATTAATTCTCTGTGGATATAGCTGCCTTGTCCTCTGTCTTGTGTCTACTGATAAAGTCAAGCTTCAGGGACTGAATTTGGCCTTCAGTGACGGGTTTGCCTGACTCCCATTAATGGCAAGAGAGTTCCCTCTTAAATGTGCCACTTTGTCAAATCCACACTACAGGGATTGTTTGGGGAAAAGCTGAAGGGCTTCATCTGTCCAGAACTGTATAATAATCACCCATTGGCTTCCCCCTCTTTTCCTGTCCTTCCCTGGACCTTGTTAATGAGGCAATTGTTAAATTCAGCTTCCTGGATGGAGAGTTTGTTTATGCACTTTGTTTTATATATGCCACAATTTCCTGAGCAAGCTGGCTCCTGCCTGCCAAAACCGCAGTCATTTTGTCCTGCCTTTGAGAACACTGGAAGGGCACTGAAGGCTGACCAGCATGCACCTCACCCCACCTCCTCTCTGTCTCATCCTCAGCCATCTAAGCGGGAGACTCATCAGGCTTAAATTCTCATTCTTATCCAACTAGGATTCTTCTGCTTCAAATGAGGCAAACTAATACAGAGATGGACTAATAGTCACCTTCTGTATAAATGATTTAGTTTGTAGAAGCAAATTCAAAATAATTGTATTCATCAGAGCAAGGTCGAGAGAACATACCTGTATCAAAGTCTTTGAAACCTTTCTGTCTTATTCAGTTCTGTAGAGACTTAAGTCTGTTTTCCAAAACAATCTATCTTTTTTTAATCAGGTCTTTAGGTTAATAGTTCTGGATGTAGTGAGACTTTTGTATTGCCTTGTCATTAACAATGGCTTTCTCACAAACTCTGCTATTCAGATTCATTAGGCAATGTCAGACTTTAAGCAAAAGAAAACAGTAATCTGTCCTTCTATTTACACTTAAACAGAGAATGCAGACAAATGACTAGTTATGTTCCATTGGTCTAGGGAGTTTTAAATTTCCAGGTCTTGCTGTATGTTTAAAGTGCTTCAGAAAAATATGTCACAGAAAAGAGGAGAGAGTACGATATATAACCAGAATTGAAAATTAGGACTTGGGTATTTAATGCAGACTTTAAAACAAATGCAATAAGGATCATCTCAAACAGTAGATCTGTAACTGGACTGAAAAATATCACAGCAATGGTGACTAGCACCTGTCCTTACAGTAGAGAATGATTTACAGAGCTCTTTACCGTTCAGACTTTATTTCAGACTAGTGTTTGCTGGACATAACACAATTAAATTTAAAACCACTGATCTATCACTTACTAATAACAATGGCCAGAAATTGTTGGTTTATTGTATTTTGATATAGATTCTCCAGTTCTCAAGTGACAGAACAATTCCAGGTATATTGATCTGGAATCTTTTTTTCACATGCACAGTACAATTTATACTTCTATCAGTGCCATGGTTTTCTTTCTCCTCCCTTTCCCAGTCCCCTTGGCAATCCGAAACAATTGTGAAAACCTTTCTCTGGTTGAGAAATGTCCAAAGATTGTTTTAAAATATACAGTTTCGATGGCATTGCAATGGAATGTAAAGTTTAGAAGAAAGAGGAAGTATATTTATTTTGACTTTACTCTCAATACTATCAACACTATCAACTTTAATATACAAGTTGATTATAATATAGACATCTACTATACTATAGTATTTATGGTATAATAAAGTTGCATACATTACTGTCAAAATACTATCAACTTTGCTACAGTATCCATACTACACTGGTTACTAGACTATTGACTTTACTATGTAATAAATAAACCTGTTAAAGGTTCTTTGGAGCGAATCATCATTCGGTTGACATAGATTTACTATTAAGTAGCTGTTAGATGAGAATAACCCTTTTAAAGATATTCATAGTATCTAGTGTCTGTAAATACCTCCGGACAACAAAGCAGTGAGTCATATCTGAACACTTCCTCTGGCGCTTAGAATGATTTGTATACTTGACCCTAATGTTTGAAGCCAAGTTAAAAACTCTAGTCACCTATACTTTTATTATTCAACAGTGATAATTCTCATCCAAACTTTGCCTCCTCTAAAGAGGTTTGTGGAACTGTGTCTAAAGTAAAACAAATGTTCTGTCACTGAAAAAAAATAAAAATAAAAAGATGCTTTAAAAGAAAGCAGTTCCAATAGAACTTGCTTCAGGGGGTGAGACCTGGAAAAAATGAGGCCCAGTTGTACTTGGCAATGCCAAATTGCAGGAACCCATGGCAACAGGAACCGATCCATTGAAACCAAGCACATCATGTTTAGGTTACAACAGGCAACTCAGAGCCCCACAGCAATAGCACGGCAGGGGGAGGAAATACTCAGCATGGGAATTAGAATACCACATCTCTCATTGGACTTTTCCTTTCAGTATTGAACAAAACTACTGGCCTCATAAGACACTTGGCCTTAGCCTAGATCTACATTGGAGTGAGTAGAGTTCTATGTAGGTCAAATTATTTTTCTTCCACTTTAGAGAATTTGCTGGGGCAGGTGTATTAAACTTAGTATGCAAATTCATGTGTGAAAAATGTTATTATCCTAAGGAGCTACTTTCACATATAAAATTTGTGGGATATATACTTTAGTTCAGGAGTACTTAGAAGGTTTGTGAAGTACTTAGACGGTTTAGGAAAAAGCAGTTTGCTGGATATTTTGTGTGAGAATAATATTTTAGTCTTTTTTTGGTATTATAAACAAGTCAACTGATAGTATTTAAAGTAGATACTAGAAAAACGTAAACGTACAGAAATCTAAAGCTGAGTACTGAGTATACTTTGGCCTCAAATGAAGAAACTTTTAACATGCGTTGTGGAAATTAGTTGCAGTGGGTTGGTACACAAACACATTTATTTTAACTATTATGAAAAGAGATATATCTTTGCTTATGAATACCCTTCATTTTTAGTGCCATATTAAAAGATGCTATAGATAACTTATTTTTTGTAATCCCATTATATTTTGAGATACAGTCTGTTGGGCTAAGGATTAGACAAACACACACAACAAAAATCATTTGCATCTCTCAACATACACACACAAGCACACATAAATCTTTTCTGAGATATGCTTACAAGAGCTACCTAGTTTGCTATTAAGTATACTGGTGTTTATTGTGTGTACCAAGTATTTTGCATTTACAAACTAAGACATCGCATGGTAAAGGTATCAATGCCACTTGTGTCCCAGGGAAAAATAATTGCACAATAGAATCTATATACTGCATTCCTCTCTTTCCAGATGTTCACTACACTAGGAAGGATGAAACTTACCAGGGCCATTTTGAATTCTAAATTTTTCATTTAAATCCTTCCTATTTAATTAAAAGATAACTAAAATTACAACTCCTCATGAAGAAGGAAACAAACGTTGCTTTTTTTCTACATTTCTTTAAGACTCACAAGGCATTATACATGTTTGTGATTCTTCCCATTAGTTAAAAAAAATGCTAAAATGATTTGCCCTCAATCTTTTGACAGTTCATTCAACAAATGACTCCTGAGTGGGTTCCAACTGAGAATTTATCAGTATTTTTTAAGTCGTTCATTCTTGAGATGCTTTATAGCAGCCTGAGTAGGTAACACCAAATTGAAAAGTTTCTATATTCAAGGGTTAGCCTTTTGCTCTCCTTACCACTACACTTAGAAGTTGTATTTTAGTAACTTTCCTGAGAAAATGAGTAATTTTTGGCCATTTTAGTTTCTCCCACTTCAAAGGGGATCAAATTTGACAAGATAAACTGCTACCAAAATGTTTGGCAGTTTACTTAGAAGTAACCAAAGTAGATATGAATGCACGAAGCTTCCGTGCTATTCCCTTTCTATTTAATTGGCCTTGATTTCCTCATTCTAAGCATTCTCTGGACCCATATTTAAATTCTCCCAGAAAGATATTTTTTTTGTTTCTGCTGTGCATACTATAGATTCTGACCATGGTGGCAAAGCTACTCTTCAGCCCTGTCTATACTAAATTATTAAAGAAAATATGTCAGATTAATTACTCTCCACTATAGGATCTCAGGTTATAGGATCATGACTTCTATAAAGTGGCTTACATTCAGTTCACGAGTGGCTCTCAATTTATCTTCAGAACAGCAGCAAAAGTCAAGTGACATATTCGCTATTGTTGTTGTTGTTTGCACATCATTTGTGTTGGCTTCTATTCTCCAGATTGACGTTCCTAAAGGAAAGAGTGCCAGGAAGAAGGCACCCTAGGTGGCCTCAGCACAGGCTGAGCAGAAGGAGGAACCATTACCTTCTTCTGAGAGACCTTAACTCTTACATTCACTCTTACAACAGGCCAAGAAGAGAAGCATTAAAATCACACCGCAGTGGATTCCTCCCCTTATGATCCCAGGGCCCTCTTAGCTGACAGCGTGGTGGTAGAGTACAGAAGGACTGAAGAACAGAGGAAGGCACTGGGCACAGTGGCTCACTCTTGTAATCCCAGCACTTTGGGAGGCTGAGGCGGGCAGATCAGTTAAGGTCAGGAGTTCGAGACCAGCTTGGGCAACATGGCGAAACCCTGACTCTACAAAAAATAGAAAAATTAGCCAGGCATGGTGGTGCACCTATAGTCCCAGCTACTCGGGAGCTGAGGCAGGAGAATCACTTGAATCCAGGAGGTGGAGGTTGCAGTGAGCCAAGATTGCACCACTGCACTCCAGCCTGGGCAACACAAGATCCAGCCTGAGCAACAGAGAAAGACCCTGTCTCAAAAAAATAAAAATAAAGAATAGAGGGAGGAAGTAGCTCTTTATATTTGCAATAGGTAGACGTGGAGAATATTTTAGACAAACACATGCAGGCACACAACACAGAGCTTTGGAGGGAGTTATGGTAATCAGGTTTACCATAAAAATCCAAAATGCCTATAATACAATACTATAAATAGCTCACTTTATTGTGGATATATAATCTACCCTTCAGTGAAGAATTGTATATGATGCTGCTTTAATGCAGTTTTATGCTAATGATAAACATTTACTTGGTACATCATAAGTAAATAATGGTTTTCTGCAAAACTGAAAATGTACTCCTTTGTTTCAGCACAGCATATGGGAAAGCACTCATCCACAACTTTAGGTGTCATTAGCTTCCTTTTGTCTCTAAAGATAGCATCAATCAAGATGGGGCTACTTTACGATTCACATTTAATTTAAAAAAAAGATAAAATAGTTTGGTAGTCATTTAGAATGAGCTGGAGAATAGCAATGACTCTGGTTTAGAATTATATTCTATTTTAATTTCACTAAAAATTAAAAACTGTAGCTCATTTATTTTAACATTTGTTCCTCTCCAAAATAATCAATCACTTAACTCTGTTTTCAAAATGAAATAACATACATCTGAGATAACTGACACAAATATACAGTATCGTACACCACCTGACAACATCAGAATAGAAAATTGCCATTCAGCTCTTCAAAAAACCTAACCCTAGTCCTGAGCCTTCTCAGAAACAAGCATTATGTTGGTTATGAGAAGATTTTGTAAATAATTTTTATATTAACAGAAGTTAGAAATATTGTGAAAATATTGTTTATCCTCCCTAGCATCAAAAAAGTCTTTTTTTATGATTGAATGTAGTTTCTTTTAAATGAACAAATTTCATACTTCATGAAAATCTAAAAATATTTGTTAACAGATGTCTACAGAATGAAATATACTTTCAAAAACTTTGTGAAGCCATTTTAATATACACCTTTAACATCACACAATTCAAAAATAAAGAAAATTTAAAGACACAACAACATCCCTAGTTCTAACTCCACCTTTCAATGTACACAATGCTGAAGCATTAGAGAAAACTATCATTTTAAATACCATCAACCACACAAAGTCGTATTATATCCTGTTGAAGTAAACTAGATTTTATTGAGCTTTCTTTAATTTTTTTTTAATTCTGGTGTACTCAATGAAGAAATTGACCCACAGATAAGTTTCTACAGAAATGTTAAAAATTCAATCTGTTTTCTTTAAGTGCTAAATATTTGGGAGTTAGCCAGAATAAGAATTCAATTGGAGTCAATCAAACAAATGTGACACAAACAGCTTCTGACTTTCAAAGGCAATATGAGAGTATATAGCCCCCTTTCTGTTGTTGCTTCACTACACAGAGGCCTATATAAAAACTGGCAAGAGCTACCAACAGGGCCTCTGCTGTTATAGAAGAGTGATTGTTTTGTATTTGGTCCTGATAGATAAGCGGCCTCTGAATATTTCATTTTGTAATAATAACAGGCCAAAATCCTATTAGTAACTAAGAAAAGACATCATCAGCTCCCTAGTCCCTAAATTCTCATCTTTTCAGGCATTTGCAACTAGAACCACAAAAAATCATAAAAGCATTATCAGCAAGTATACCTATTTTGCATTGCTAGTGCCTTTAGCATAAAAAGTAAATTTTTTTCTTAAAAAGCATGAGGAAATTTAAAATGAAACCGTGTATCCAGAGTCCTAAAACAGTCCCCTAACCTTTGGCTTATATCTGAAGCTAGTCAGAGGTAAATAGAATTGAATAGGACCCAGGAAAAGTTGACTTCAGATTGTCTCCCAGAGGAAAAATGGCACAGGACTAAAACAAAAAAAACAGTTCATTTCTACTAAGTGATACAGTAATAATATTGTATAAGCCATAGAATTAGTTAAATACATCATTTAATTTTCTTTCCAAATTGTCCACTTTTAAAAGATTATGCTTAAATTTGGCTCATATAAACACCAAAAATTACAGAGCAGCATATTTAAGTGAAACAATAATAGTACAGTTCAGCATTATAGTTTTTGAACCACTTCCACATATATATATATTTTTCACATGGTATGTTAAACCCTCTTATGATGTCGTTTTATTATAGAGGAAGGAACTGTATAATACACTTACGGTGACTTGCCCACAGTCCTACAGCTAAGACTAGAAATGAGATCTTCTGACAATCTCCGGTGCTCTTAAGGGAAGAGAACAAAAAATGACTTTTTAGTATAAACATAGATTCACTCTGAAAACTTACTAAACAGTTTTTGTGATGCTTTCATGCTGCAGTTTTGGCAACACATAAATTCAAGGCATATTGAAAATATCCACATAGAGTTCAACTTCCATAAATTTTAGCTTATTTTAAAAACTAGATAAACTCTCACTGAGTTGAAAAAATTATGTAGCTTTCAGGTCAACACAAAGAAAGATTTTACAATTAAAACTGCTTCCCAAAAATGGGGGGAAATTGGCTTATGATCCCTGACATCCAACTTATTCAAGTAAAAGTAGAAGAGATTCTCACATCTCCTGGACAGGAAACAGTGATGTTGACATCTCTATTTCCTTCCCACTTTGAGAGTCTGAGATTCTGAGTCTTACCCTAGGCTCTCTTTAGGAAAACAACAAAATTCTCATACCTCTTTGAAGTTGCAGACACTTAATAAGACGGAGAAAAAATTCACCCTCAGAACTTCTATAAAAGCTCAGCTGGTTTTGGAATTTAAGTAAGTCACTTCTTTACTAAATAGCTGCTTTTATTGCAGCATATCTTCGTTGTGAAATGGAAAACTATTTAAGGAAAGCACTCCTCTGTAAGAAACAACATAGCAAGAAATAAATGCAGGTCTTGTATGCCTGTAAAAACAGACATTCAAAATTGTATGCTGACATCAAATGTTTGGCACGGTACAAATCTGACAAAATTCATTAGATTATATAAAAGGAGGAATAAAACAGCAAAAGTGAAGCACAGGCCTATAAAAGGACTTGTTTTGATTTTTTTAGAACAAAACTTCTATTTCCATATCTAGGTATGATTTTAAAAATTGATCCACATAATGTGGTAGCCTGTGGTGTTTCAATATGAAATACTTGAGAAGGTGATTACTAAGGGCATCGTAACAACCTTAACAACTTCAGCACTACCTAATTTCTTTTTCATTTTTCTCCTCATCACAAATAGCATTCACTTTACGCCCTGAAGCATGAAGACTTCACAGCCACTGTAATTTTACCCAATCCAGGCAGTATACCTATAGTTATTCTTATTCATAGATTCCCAGATCATTTCTAAATATAAAGATATTGTCTTCAAAACTCTGTCATATAAGTGACTACCATGGATGAAATAGGTGTTTCATAAAATACAGTTTACTTTTTCCCCCCATTTTAAGCACAGCTTTACCATCTCTGCAGGTATTTGTTTCAGAAAAACAGGAAATGCTCTCTCTCTCTATATATATATATAGGAATTTATAATGTTTCATAGATAAAAGGGCTGGTTTGTCAAAATAGCCATTTTTAGAATATTTATTAAAAACAATGAATGAAGTTAGAGTACCAAGGAAGAACACAAAGGAAACCACATATATTATAGTTGGAGGAATTATATCATGCCATATTTATATCATCCAACTTTACAACGATTAAAGTTCACAGGATAAATCTAATACTAAATAAATGGTAATAGTAGTAGATGGAGACAAGATATCATTGTATAACATAGAATCTGTCATAAAGTGTTTTTTCCCTGCACATTTTCATAATGGCTGTTAGAATAATGATTACAACATCCCTCATTTTGATGTCTCTGGAATATACTTTGACAAACTGAGATTCCAAAGTACATCCATTATCTCACCTGATGTCATTTTACTTGATGAAGAATTTTAATAAGTTACCCAAAGTTAAATAACAATAGCACATGATCTTGTATGGGTTCAGGCTCATTCTTGGTCTCCACTCTCCTTCATGTCTCACAGAATTCAATCAATTGTCTGGTATTTGTTTTTTTATGGGAGCCAATCACCCACCATCTCTGAAATTATGCCAAAGGGTAACTAGGACCTGATTCTAAGCTCTGTTAATTAGACAGTAGCCTCAACAGAGATAAAGTAATTCAAATAAGAAAACACCATATCAGAGACTACATAAATGGAAAAAAAAAAGGAAATAAAAATTTAATAACTACTATGTAGCACACCCATATATACTGGAATTTGATCCCCCTAACTCCTTGTAGTTGTTGCTTTTATCTTCATCTGGACAGATGCTGCTGCTGCAACTCGGGTTAAATAGCTGATGAGTGACAGAAGTGGAACTGGAGCCCATTACTGCCTAGGTCCCAAGCCCATGAGCCTCTCACTATGTTGCCTTGTTTCTCTCCAAATTCACAGAATCCTACTTAGAGACAAATTAAGAAAAAAAAAATCTCATCTTTATTCATCCTGCCATTTCCCATTGTGAAAAAATACAAGCACATAGTGTCTGATAATATCCATTTCTCAGATGTTTTTCTAGCTCTCCCAGCTAATGACCATTTAATTCCTTTTTTATTTTCACAATAATTATTGTTCATATCAGATTTAGTATTGCTTCAATCATGGTGCTGCTTGTAGCACTATCATTTTACTCTCAAAAAACAAAAGAAGGTCAGGGAGATGAGCTGAGAACACCCCAGCATACCCCTTCTTCCTAAGGAACTCCAGGTGCCCACCATGATGCGCCCTCCATTATTCACTCCAGCTGAAAAAATTACCCAAGCAATGCCCTTCTGTGAACTCCTACTCTAAGCCAATCTTCAAGGTATTAGAGCTCTCTGGCAAGACAGACTGAAGGGCAGACAATATTTTTTTCCTCTTCCCCTTTGGCTTAATTCTTAAAATGGGTTTTAAATTCAATTCAGTGAAAGCCCCAGTATATCAGACATTTGGTAGTGTCTTGTGAGACCTGAGGAAAGGGTTGACCAGAACTGAACTTGACTTTAATACAAGACCATGTTCTATTATTGTTTAACTTTGGGTATTTCTCCCCTAGGAGGAGGACAGAGGAGAACTAACCAGCTCCAGGACCAAGGTAAGAGGGGAGTTTTCTTTCAAAAGAATGGCTTCCATCCATTTGAAGGAAACCCCTCCCCCACCTGTTTTTTAATCCCTTTTTCTTTATACATTTATATTTTTTAACCCACCAGCATAAGGAAACCAGCTTGCCACTTGTGCGTAATAGTTATTTGAACATTCACTTACAAATGGTATAGCAGGAAAAAATAAAAACTTTCACACAAGTCATATCAGTTATATGCTAATGCATTTATGTTTTCTATCTTCATTAAATATTAGTACTAGTCTTCCATTAAGGCTTAGATACTTGCATAGGCCTTAGAAAATTTTTATCAGCTGTTAATTTCTCTATTTGTAAAATATACATAGTTACTATCAGCCAAACAATAGTGCTCACAAAAATATCAAAACTAAAATCCAAAGCATTTTTATACAGAAATATATCATTAAGAAAAAAATAATAAAATTAACCACTAATATCATTTTAATGATATATATTTGGAAATATGATCAGTCTGGACTTTTGGGTTGAAGCTATACAAACTTAGTGAGATTTTTAAGGTGCCATAGGAAAACTGTGGTTAGAAAAATAGGAGGAAAGGGAGGAAATATTGTGTTGAGCATCATCTCTCCATGCTTATACACCCTCTTCCCAGGCCTCTTGTGTATTTCTTTTAATGGTTTTCACTATAACCTCTCACTTTTTGTGTTGTTGTCCATAGAAATCATTAGTATTTCCTGACTTTGGTATTCTCTTTCAAATTGGTCTTTCCATAGAGGAAAACCAAGAGGAGAAACAAGTGAAAGAATTTAAAGGGGCGGTGCAGTGGCTCACACCTGTAATCCCAGCACTTCGGGAGGCCAAGGCAGGTGGATTTCTTGAGCCCAGGAGATTGAGACTGGCCTGGGCAACATGGCAAAACCCCGTCTCTACAAAAAAATAGAAAACAATTAGCTGGGCATGGTGGTGCATGTCTGTTGTCCTACGTACCCAGGAGGCTGAGGTGGGAGGATTGCTCGAGCCTGGGAGGTAGACGTTTCACTGAGTTGTGATCATGCCACTGCACTCCAGCCTGGGTGACACAGCCAGACCCTGTCTCAAAAAAAATAAATAAAAGCTAAATTAAAAAATAAATTTAAAAATCTAAAAGTTGAGCTCGAAAAAGAAAAATAGACCATAGGGATTATGAAAGGCACCAGCTTCTAGATCCTATTCAGCAATAATTATCTGTTATCATTTTCCTCCAAAGAAGCTAGATCTTGTGTGACTCAAGTAGATTTTAGGAAAGTTTTAAGATCAGGTAACAGGGACACTTGGGACTCAAGAAGAAGAAAATTTTAGGAAGGGAGAAAAAAATGTACCAAAAAAATGAGAATTCAGGCAATTTGTTGCCAAAAAATAGTCATCGTCTTCCAGTAATACAGGTCTACCATTTTGTTACAAACGTGTTTAGAAGCCTTGCAAATCCTTAAAGTTGGATTGTTAGAGCATGTAATGAAAGAAAATCCTTTCCAAAGGATACATTTTTGTTAGAGGTTATTGTTTTCTGAGCAGGAACAATAGTGGCTATGTGATTAGGAACTTACATGAAAAGACTCATTCAAACTAAGTAATTCATTTTAACATCAAAACATAATATCTATTTATGTAGATAAATATATTATAATGGTCATCAAATCCAGAAACTTAAGCATTAAACTTTTAGCTCATGGCATATTTTGTTGACTGATTGTCTGATATAACCTAATTTTGACTTTCTCTCTCACTGACTTCTTTAATGAAAAGTACAGGATATATTTGAATCACATTATTTATTCTTAATTTATTTATCCTGAATTTTAAGATGCCAGGCATACGGACTCTCCACTGAAGCAGTCATACAAAAGAAGGAAATTGTCACAACATTGTTAGTGAGCTCTTTATGTGTTAGAATTTGATGTTTACATGGACATTTGTTATATCAGGAAGATTTGTTGTACTTTGAATTCTTATAAAATACTTCATAGAAATCTCACTCAGGGAAACAATTGGTGGGAGTTCTACAGTGACTTAGCTCTTTTGGATAACAGAGCATTGAAATGACAGCACCACTTCTCTGTTTTGTTGCTTAGTAAAGTGAAAAGCATTGATTTATATACTTGCATTCAATTTATTAAGTATATTTAAAATAGTTCATGAAAGTGTCCAAACTAATAGCTTAAGATACCCAACTTCTGACAAGTAGCAAATAACTGAATGACTATGTAATATGTGTAATATGTTCCAGTATTAACACCAATAGAAGCAAATGTAGGTGAGACTATTTTAAGAATTTAAATTTTTTGTCACTTTTTAAAATTTGAATTGTTTAAACAGTGGGTGTTAGAATATATTTCTATTTTGAAATATGACTATAAGCCCTGTTGCTTTCAAAATAAGCAGCTTTGTATCTTCACTTAGAATCTCATAAACTTAAAATATTTACAGACTCATGGATTCAGAATTCTTAGGCTTCAACTATTTTCAGAGAGTAACAGAAAAGCTACAAATTCTCACAGATGTGAGCCCCCATGTATCTGAACTTTGAATAAAAAGCTCAGCTTCCTTTCATTAGCTTGTAATCTCTGTTTCTATAAGAAGCACTCTTAGTTTGTAATCCCTATTTCTATAAGCAGCACTGTTTTTACTCAAGTGTCTTCTCTACTTTGTGTTGCTCATCAGCCTAAACAAAATTCAGGCCAAAAGCTCTGGTAGGTTAAGCAAGATCAATTAAAACACATTTTAAGTGATAAGAGCAACATCCAAATACTGACCTCCTGCTAAGGAACCTGAAATCTTAAATGAAAGAAGAAAGTTGGAACTTTTTATTTTTAAATTTTTACTCTCAAGAATTTAATGGAAAATTTATAGTCTTTGTATGTGAAGTTTAAATAGATACATGTGGTGAGTTAAATACATATTAAAATATGCAGTGAAATAAATCTCAAACCACAGTTGACACTTAATATCTGTTGGTAATAAATGTAATTTTTAATTTTTAAAATAAAAATAAATTATATTATTCTAAGAAGTAAATTTAGTAACAGAATAATTTTTCTTTCTTTCTTTCTTTTCTTTTCTTTTCTTTTTGTTTTTTTTTTTTTTTTTTTTGAGATGGAGTCTTGCTTTGTTGCCAGGCAGGAGTGCAGTGACTGCAGTGATGTGATCTTGGCTCACTGCAACCTCCGCCTCCCGGGTGCAAGCGACTCTCCTGCCTCAGCCTCCTGAGTAGCTGGGACTACAGGTGTCTGCCACCACACTGAGCTAAATTTTTGTATTTTTAGTAGAGTACTGGCCAGGATGGTCTCGATCTCTTGACCTCATGATCCGCCCACCTCGGCCTCCGTAAGTGCTGAGATGACAGGCATGAGCCACCACGCCTGGCCAACAGAATAATTTTCTAAAGGTGATGTGTTTTCTTGGCTAAACTTGAATAGAATTGATTTATAAAAATCCATTATGGAGGATTTTTATCTTGAAGTTTAGTTAAGAGTATCACATTTCCCTTGATATTAACAACAAAGTTGCATTTGATTTTATCATTTAGTGTTCTTTCCTTGTCTGGCTGCATAAAGTGAAGGGCAACTGGTTTATTTTAGCTATCTATAATCTCACTGAAATATCTTCTAAGATTATTTTGTTTATACAGTGGATCAAATTGTCAGCCATTATTCATAAAGATAGCTAATGTCAATAATATGTTTATGTCCGCTTGCCAACACTTAATAGACAGTTTTGAAGTGTTTTGTTTTAAAACACACTTCATATCAGGACTTCCCAAAATTCATTAGTTGCCTTAGTTGAAGGATTCCCTTTCGTTTGCCCAGAACACTATTCTTTTATTTTAATGGGTTGCTTGCAAAATAGCACGAGGTTAATTCACTGTTATATCACTTCTTATGTAGTTCTTGCATAACAACTATAATCATTGCCCTGCATTAGGACTGAAAAGAGTATAAAGTACCCTAAAACACAGTTGTTACCCTCCAAGAGAAAGAAAAGATTTACATAGATCGTGTTGTAATGTATGACTCAAAGGAAATATGAGTACTCAGATACTAGATCTTATTATTTAAAGAAGAAAGAGATAAACAGCATCTACAGTATCTGTGAAATACCTCATAAAGAAGATTCAGATGTATTAGTTTACAAATATTAGCAAATGAATAAATAAGTCAGTGAGTGATTACTGGAAAATGTTAAGAAATTCAGAAAGGCTAAGAGAAGGGAAAAAAGGAATTCCTGGTGAATGTTCTAATATGAGTTTGGAGTCAGTTCTGAATAAAATATAGTTAGGACTATAAGGAAACTAACCTGGCTGAAGGCAGAGAGAATCAGCTTGGAGGATTAGTTTGATTAAGAGACTAGACTTCTGTGTTAGACAAACCCAGCTTCCTATTTCACTTTTGCCATTTACTAGCCAATCAACTTTAGGCCTCACTATCCTCATCTGTAAAATGGAGATGTAATTCTACCATACGGGATTGTTGTGAGGATTCAATGAGAATCCTCTGTCTGGCTAAATAAAATATAATACAGTTATACTTTAAAAGAGTATGTAAGCTGAATTGTTGAGAAAGCTTGAATGTCAGAAAAGTTAGAATAATATCTTGGAGGCAATCATGAATTTGTGAAGATTTTTGACAAGGCATTCTAAAAAGCAGTGAAGCAAAGTTATTCTGACTCTGGGTAGCAGAGAATGGATTGAGAAAGCCAGTGGATCTGGTCTTGGGTGATAAAGGCTTCAACTAAAGTGATGCCAGTTTAATAGAAATGAAAATATAAATATGAGAGTCACTTGTCATAAAAACAGTTCTTAATGGATAATTGGCTAGAGGAAAGGAAGGGAAATGAAAATTCAAAGATGAGACTGAGTTTTTGTGGTTGGGCCTTGTTATTTTGGTATTCATTTTTACAGTCCTATTTCTTCTGTGTAAAATCTCCTAATTCATTATACTGAAGCTTCTATATGGTACTGTTCTTGGGACCCAAGATTACATGTCTCAAAAGATTAGAACTTAAATCAATAAGAACTTTGTATGTATGAAAAAAAAGACATTTTAACTTTGGAAGAAAATCTTACCATCTAGTTAAATCAAGTCATTTCATATAGATATTGGTAATGCTTTTCAAAGAAAATTATCTACTACCCTTCCTTCTTGGGTATTTAGGCTGTATCTGTTCAGTTGACAAGACCACCTGCCTTTCAAGTTTTTTCTCAGCTCAAGGAGTATTTAGCCTGAGAGAACTGAAATTGCCATCTTACAATGGCTTCCAAAACTTAATCAGGCATAGACCCTACCAAGCCTGACAAACTTCCCAGGAAAAAGAAAATTTCCCACAGAGAGCCATAGAAGGATGAATATATAGTTTAGCTATACAGGGAAGAGTCATGATAGGAAACCAAAGGTATCCTGGTACTGTAGGAAGAACACTGGACCAGAAGGCAGAAGACCTGTGCCCCAGCTGGACTTTGATGGACAAGTCACCTAACTTTCATTAGGCCCCAGGGACTGCATCCTAGGGCCTAATAAGAAGGATGGGCATAACCTCTAACCTACATTTTGATTCAAAAATTCTGGGATTCTAAGTCTTTAAAGCAATTGATGAAAGTTTTTAGGAGTCAGCAAAGAATGGGAAAAGTAAAGATGATCTGTGGACCATGGAATGGAATTCTGGAAATCACATAAGGAGATGAAGAAATCAAGAGTAAGAGACAGTGGGGGAGTCCACACAGCAAATCCTGGTCCAGGCAGGGCATCTGCATGAAAGACACAGTACTGTTGAACAGCTCACATGCTGTTTATGTAACAGAGACCAGTTCTTATATTTTAAAATTATATTTTACCTACTTTAAAGCAAATTTACTTTAGAATAATAATAACCACAACTTGAAAAATGAATGCTATTCAGAGATAACTTGAAGAACTTCACTAGCTAGGCATGGTCTCATTTGAAACAAAGCTTTCATATGTATAATTTGAGCACAGTGATAACAACAAGGGAATGGCCTGAGGCAGGGACTTTACTGAGTATAGTCTCAAACACCCCAAGGCCACCACAAATAAATAAAATGTGTGGTATGAAATATGAATAGTTGATATTTTCTCAATATTATATAACTGAAGGCATCTTTTCACATTTTTTTTTAAATTTTTATTGGTTTCACATTCAGTATTTAAAAATGGGAGTGGGTATGGTGGCTCACACTTGTAATCCCAGGCAGGTGGATCGCTTCAGCCCAGGAGTTCGAGACCAGCATGGGCAACATGGCAAAACCACATTTCTACAAAATATACAAAAATTAGCTGGGTATGGTGGTGTGCACTTGCAGTCAATCTTAGCTACTCAGGAGGCTGAGGTGGGAGGATCACCTGAGCCTCGGGAGGTCAGGGCTGCAGTGAGCCATGATCATGCCACTTCACTCCAGCCTGGGCAACAGAGTGAGACCCTGTCTCAAAAAATAAAAATAATAAAAAATTAAAATGTTCTGCATATGATGCAACTGTACAATGATCACAGATTGAGGCTAGTACTTTGGAAATCCCTTCTCAATAAATCAGTCTTAAAACCTCTGCTCTATTAACATTCTGAGCCACCAGGTGTCATAGAAATGTTTTTATTTCGCTTACCTTTAATAGACAGACTTAGAAGTCATCACTATTTTTAAAATAAATGTTATTCGAATTTAGAACAGATATATTTTTAATCTGTGTTCAAGTTGCCCTTCCAAGGTCTGTGAACCCCTGAAATTATGTATAAGTCTGGGGTTTTGTAAGTTTTTGCATTTCTTCCTGAGAAAGTATTTGTACTTTCATTGAATTCTAAAAGAGAACCATGACCCAAAGTAGGTAAAAAAATTCTACTCTGTGACCTAAAATTGACAAAATCATGAAGCTAAGTTTCATGAAATATTTGTAAATATTACCTAAAAAATACTCAACACTAAAAATGTAATTAAAATTTTCATTGATCAAACTCCCTAGCTAATGCTCTGGCTAAGTTCCTGGGAGATATCCTAACAAAAATCACAAAGCTCCTTCAAGGAATAACATTCCTCAGATCCATGTCTCAACTAGAAATTAATCATGCAAATTCCAATGAACATGCAATTTAGAGACAATTGCTGGAATCCAGACAAGTATCTGTGTAACTTGTTCAGCTCTCCTTGACTCAACTTGGAATATGAAATACAAAGGTTTCCACACTAACTTAATTACATATATGTCATCTAAAACCCAAACCAAAGACACTAAATCCTTCCTTATCAAAGTAGTTTTCAAGTGCTCATTGCAAATCATGCTGGGTCTGAATTGTCTTTCCACTTACAAAAATTTTTCTCTCCTTATTTTAATATTAAATTCCTGATCAATAGTACCATTTAATGCAAATCTTACTTGTCATCGCATAGGCAAACTGGAGTAAAAATTCAATATCTTTTCTAAAAACTTTTTGCATATATATGTAGAGCAATCTAGCCCAAATTCTGCCTTTGGAAATGAGTGCACAAATCCAATGAAGCAAAAAGAGCCTTGTGCTTGTCTACTGGAATGAATAATTTGGGAAGAAAAGTAATAACACAGCTACAAGTTAAATTGAAAACTTAGTGGAGCATTGATAATGCTGAAAACTGGCTACTCTTCGAGGCTAAATAGTTGATAAAGGGTAGAATTGCGAATGCAAAAGCCTTTCCTTAAAATTAGACATATTTAGTTCTTCACTCTTCATCATTTGACAGCCTATTGATTCTTATTTACTTTTTGTGTTTTCTTGATTAATAAAATAGTCATTTTTTCTCAGTAGGTCATTAATTGACTTTACACAGAGTTCTGGGGTTGTTGTAAATTCTCAGCTTTTTTGCTTACTTGCTCCATTCACCTTTATCTGGAAGATGTCATTAATTAAACTACAAAAGTAAATCCTACATGATATTTGCTTCTCTCTACCTATTTCATCTTGTTATATGGAATACGCATAGAACTTTTGTGAAAATACTGACAATGCAGCTATATTTAATAACAGAATGAATAGTCTATGTAGAGTTGGTTATTCATATTTCATGAAATTACTATTTTCTTATTAGCATGGTTCTGGGAAAACTGTAGCACATATACATGTATACACATACACACACACACACACATATATATACATACATACACACACACACACATTTGCTGCTAACAAAGCTTAAATCAAATGAGTTTTCCAATCTGGAATTTTAGTTTGATTTCAAGAAAGGTATAAAATAAATATGTAGCATGATAGAATATAAAAATAAATTGTATTTTTTAACTCCTACAAACAAATAAAAAAAAAAGACTTTTTCTTAGGGTCTCTAATACTTGTTAGGGAAAGAACATAGTTGCTAGCCATAAATCTGTTTTTCTGAAAACAGAGATATAAACTCTTTCTTTTTTTGTAAATAGCACACTAAGCAGGACTCAAGGCTATTCAGTCACATTCATTTAATTCAGCCTAAGGGAAAAGACTCACCTTGTCTATATAAATATGTGTGAAACAGCAAGTCTTCTTTCTAGGCCACTAAGAGTTCTATTAACCTCCTGTAGCTCCTGTCTGATGGGGTATGTCTGCTAATTGATGCATTGCTCATACTTCTCTGCCTGACCTGTTCCCATCAAATAAAGTAGAGCCCTCATAGAAGCCAAATACATCACATGTCCTCCAGCCTGTGACTAGAGGGACAAAACCAACTGAACCAAAGCAAACCACATAATGAGGAACAATAAATGTTTTTCTAAGAACTTTAAGAATAACCCCTAATTTATATCTCAAATTTTATTTAATCCAAAATAGAGTATATTATTTGGCTTGAATAAAACAATTCCATAAGGTATTATATTACAAAATAACTGAAAGCTTTGTTTTTTACTAATTATTACAGTATCACTTTCCACTGCCCAGAAAATTTTGGGTGTGTGGGGGCATAAAGAACAAATGCAATTTAAGTTCATCATCATCTTACACCCAGAGATTGTGATTTGTTGTATTTTCTTTCATATTCTTTTCAATAATCAACATTATGTATATGTATACTTATATATAAATGTATAGTTTATTCTCAGACTAAGATCAAAATGAACACACACTTGTTTCTTTTTCTGCTTAACATTATACTATAAGTACTCCCTCTTGCCATTGAAATTTTTTTAATGGTTATCAAACATCAATCATATGGATCATTGGTACTTATCAACACTATAACGCCAGAAGCTTTGTAACATATGGTACCCCAATTTAGAAAAACCTGATACAGTGGGGGTTAGGTCTGAGCATGAGTATTTGCAATATGCAGTTATTATACTCAAGTCAAAGTTGAGACCACTGGTGTATACCAAAATCTCCTTAATCTTCCCTCTTTTTGATAGGTATATTGCTTTCAATTTATATATATATATATATATAATGCCATATAAAATGTTATATATATAATGCTATATATATAATGTTACATATATATAAAATGAGATTTATCATAAGTCATTTTGGCAGCACCTTTAATTTCTTAGGATTGATTGCTCTAAGGGGAATTATTTAATTAAGGGTGAGAATTGTTTTAAAGCTTTTGTTGTATAAAGCCAAATTATTTTCTTTTTGGTTTTTAATTCTTTTTTTCTCCTTTTTTAAAAATTTCATCTTTAAAAAATGGGATATATGTGCAGAACGTGCAGATTTGTTACAAAGGTATACAAGTGCCATGATGGTTTGCTGCACCTATTGACCCGCCCTCTAAGTTCCCTCCCCTCACCCCCAACCCTCCAACAGGCCCTGGTGTGTGTTGTTCCCTTCTCTGTGTCCATGTGTCCTCAATGTTCAACTCCCACTTATATGAGTGAGAACATGTGGTGTTTTGTTTTCTGTTCCTGTGTTAGTTTGATCAGGATGATGGCTTCCAGCTTCATCCATGTCCCTGCAAAGGACATAATCTCATTCCTTTTTATGGCTGCATAGTATTCTGTGGTATATATGTACCATATTTTCTTTATCCAGTCTATCATTGATGGGCATATTGGTCGGTTCCATGTCTTTGCTATTGTACACAGTGCTGCAATAAACATGTGTGCATGTGTCTTTATAGTAAAATGATTTATATTCCTTTGGGTATATACCCAGTAATGGGATTGCTGGGTCATGGTATTTCTGGTTCGAGATCCTTGAAGAATCACCATATTGTCTTCCACAATGGTTAGACTAATTTAAATTCCCACCAACAGTATAAAAGCATTCCTATTTCTCCACAGCCTTGCCAGCATCTATTGTTTCCTGATTTTTTAAAAATCACCATTCTGACTGGCGTGAGATGGTGGTACCTCATTGTGGTTTTGATTTGCGTTTCTCTAATGATCAATTATGTTGAGTTTTTTTCATATGTTTATTGGCTGTGTAAATGTCTTCTTTTGAGACGTGTCTGTTCATGTGCTTTGCCCAATTTTTGATGGGACTGTTTGTTTTTCTCTTGTAAATTTGTTTAAGTTTCTTGTAAATTCTGGATATTAGACGTTTGTCAGACGGGTAGATTGCAAAAATTATCTTCCATTCTGTAGGTTGCCTGTTCACCCTGGTGATAGTTCTTTTGCTGTGCAGAAACTCTTTTTTTATATACATACTTTAAGTTCTAGGGTACATGTGCACAATATGCAGGTTACATATGTATACATGTGCCATGTTAGTGTGTTGCACCCATCAACTCGTCATTTACATTAGTTATATCTCCTAATGCTATCCCTCCCCGCTCCCCCCACCCCACAACAGGCCCCAGTTTGTGATGTTCCCTACACTGTGTCAAAGTGTTCTCATTGTTCAATTCCCACCTATGAGTGAGAACATGTGGTGTTTGGTTTTCTGTCCTTGCAATAGTTTGCCCAGAATGATGGATTCCAGCTTCATCCATGTCCCTGAAAAGGACATGAACTCATCCTTTTTATGGCTGCATAGTATTCAACGGTGTATATGTGCCACATTTTCTTAATCCAGTCTATCATTGATGGACATTTGGGTTGGTTCCAAGTCTTTGCTATTGTGAATAGTGCCACAATAAACATACATGTGCATGTGTCTTTATATCAGCATGATTTATAATCCTTTGGGTATATATGCAGTAACAGGATGGCTGGGCCAAATGGTATTTCTAGCTCTAGATCCTTGAGGAATCGCCACACTGTCTTCCACAATGGTTGAACTAGTTTACAGTCCCATCAACAGCGTAAAAGTGTTCCTATTTCTCCACATCCTCTCCAGCACCTGTTGTTTCCTGACTTTTTAATGATTGCCATTCTAACTGGTGTCAGATGGTATCTCATTGTGATTTTGATTAGCATTTCTCTGATGGCCAGTGATGATGAGCATTTTTTCATGTGTCTTTTGGCTACATAAATGTCTTCTTTTGAGAAGTGTCTGTTCATATCCTTTGCCCATTTTTTGATGGGGTTGTTTGATTTTTTTCTTGTAAATTTGTTTAAGTTCTTTGTAGATTCTGGATATTAACCCTTTGTCAGATGGGTAGATTGTAAAAATTTTCTCCCATTCTGTAGGTTGCCTGTTCACTCTGATGGTAGTTTCTTTTGCTGTGCAGAAGCTCTTTAGTTTAATTAGATCCCATTTGCCAATTTTTGCTTTTGTTGCCATTGCTTTTGGTGTTTTAGTCACAAAGTCCTTGCCCATGCCTATGTCCTGTATGGTATTCCCTATGCTATCTTCTAGGGTTTTTATGGCTTTTAGGTCTAACATGTAAGTCTTTAATCCATCTTGAATTAATTTTTGTATAAGGTGTAAGGAAGGGATCCAGTTTCAGCTTTCTACATATGGCTAGCCAGTTTTCCCAGGACCATTTATTAAATAGGGAATCCTTTCCCCATTGCTTGTTTTTGTCAGGTTTGTCAAAGATCAGATAGTTGTAGATATGCGGCATTATTTCTGAGGGCTCTGTTCTGTTCCATTGGTCTATATCTCCGTTTTGGTACCAGTACCATGCTGTTTTGGTTACTGTAGCCTTGTAGTATAGTTTGAAGTCAGGTAGTGTGATGCCTCCAGCTTTGTTCTTTTGGCTTAGGATTGTCTTGGCAATGTGGGCTCATTTTTGGTTCCATATGAACTTTAAAGTAGTTTTTTCCAGTTATGTGAAGAAAGCCATTGGTAGCTTGATGGGGATGGCATTGAATCTATAAATCACCTTGGGCAGTATGGCCATTTTCATGATGTTAATTCTTCCTATCCATGAGCATGGAATGTTCTTCCATTTGTTTGTGTCCTCTTTTATTTCATTGAGCAGTGGTTTGTAGTTCTCCGTGAAGAAGTCCTTCACATCCCTTGTAAGTTGGATTCCTAGGTATTTTATTCTCTTTGAAGCAATTGTGAATGGGAGTTCACTCATGATTTGGCTCTCTGTTTGTCTGTTATTGGTGTATAGGAATGCTTGTGATTTTTGGACGTTGATTTTGTATCCTGAGACTTTGCTGAAGTTGCTTATCAGCTTAAGGAGATTTTGGCCTGAGATGATGGGGTTTTCTAAATATACAATCATGTCATCTGCAAACAGGGACAATTTGACTTCCTCTTTTCTTAATTGAATACCCTTTATTTTCTTCTCCTGCCTGATTGCCCTGGCCAGAACTTCCAACACTATGTTGAATAGGAGTGGTGAGAGAGGGCACCCCTGTCTTGTGCCAGTTTTCAAAGGGAATGCTTCCAGTTTTTGCCCATTCAGTATGATATTGGCTGTGAGTTTGTCATAAATAGCTCTTATTATTTTGAGATACGTCCCATCAATACCTAGTTTATTGAGAGGTTTTAGCATGAAGGGCTGTTGAATTTTGGTCAAAGGCCTTTTCTGCATCTGTTGAGATAATCATGTGGTTTTTGTCTTTGGTTCTGTTTATATGGTGGATTATATTTATTGATTTGCATATGTTGAACCAGCCTTTCATCCCAGGGATGAAGCCCACTTGATCATGGTGGATAAACTTTTTGATGTACTGTTGGATTTGGTCTGCCAGTATTTTATTAAGGATTTTTGCATTGATGTTCATCAGGGATATTGGTCTAAAATTCTCTTTTTTTTTGTTGTGTCTCTGCCAGGCTTGGTATCAGGATGATGCTGGCCTCATAAAATGAGTTAGGGAGGATTCTCTCTTTTTCTATTGATTGTAATTGTTTCAGAAGGAATGGCACCAGCTCCTCTTTGTACCTCTGGTAGAATTCGGTATGGTTTTGCAGTGGCTGGTACTGGTTTTTCCCTTCCATATTTAGTGTTTCTTTCAGGAGCTCCTGCAACGCAGCCCTGGTAGTAACAAAATCCCTCAGCATTTGCTTGTCTGGAAAGGATTATATTTTTCCTTCACTTATGAAGCTTAGTTTGGCTGGATATGAAATTCTGGGTTGAAAATTCTTTCCTTTAAGAATGTTAAATATTGACCCCCAATCTATTCTAGCTTGTAGAGTTTTTGCTGAGAGGTCTGCTATTAGTCTGATGCACTTCCCTTTGTAGGTGACCTGGCCTGCCTCTCTGGCTGCCCTGAACAGTTTTCCCTTCATTTTGACCTTGGAGAATCTGATGATTATGTGTCTTGGGGTTGATCTTCTCATGGGATATCTTAATAGTGTTCTCTGTATTTCCTGAATTTGAATGTTGGCTTGTCTTGCTAGGTTGGGGAAGTTCTCCTGGATAATATCCTGAAATGTGTATTCCAGCTTGTTTCCATTCTCCCTATCTCCTTCTGGTACTCAAATCAATCGTAGGTTCTGTCCTTTTATGAAGTCTTGGAGACTTTGTTCATTCTTTTTCATTCTTTTTTCTCTATTCTTGTCTGTATGTCTTATTTCAGTAAGGTAGTCTTCAAACTCTGATATCCTTTCTTCCACTTGGTCGATTCGGCTGTTGATACTTGCATATGCTTCACAAAGTTCTCATGCTGTGTTTTTCAGTTCTATCAGGTCTTTTATGTTCCTCTCTAAACTGGTTATTCTAGTTAGCAATTCCTCTAACCTTTATCAAGGTTCTTAGCTTCTTTGCATTGGGTTAAAACATGCATTTTTAGCTCATCGTAGTTTTTATTACCTATCTTCTGAAGACTCCTTCCGTCAGTTCTCTATCTGATCTTCCATCCAGTTCTGCACCCTTTATGGAGAGACGTTGTGATCATCTGGAGGAGAATAGGCACTCTAGCTTTTTGGGTTTTCAGCATTTTTTCATTGATTCTTTCTCATCTTCATGAGTTTGTCTAGTTTCGTTCTTTGAGGCTGCTGACCCTTGGATGGGGTGTTTGTGGGGGACTTTTTGTTGTTGTTGTTGCTGATGCGGTTGTTGCTTTCTGTTTGTTTGTTTTTCTTTCAATAATCAGGGCCCTCTTCTGTAGGGCTGCTGCAGTTTGCTGGAGATTTACTTTAGGCCCTATTCATCTGATTTGCTCCTGTGCAGGAAGATGTCACTCAAGGAGGCTGGAAAGCAGCCAGGATGGCTGCCTGCTCCTTCTTCTAGGACCTCTCACCTTGAGGGGCACCAACCTGATGCCAGTAGGATCGCTCTGGCGATAGGGTGTCTGACAACCCCTGTTGGAGGGTCTCATTCAGTTGGGTGGCACAGGGAGCAGGACCTATTCAATGAAGCACTTTGTCCCTTGGTGGAGAGGGTGTGTTTTGCTGGGGGGAGACCCACCCATGTGAGCTGCCCGATTCCTCAGAACTACCAGGAGGAGAGGCTAAGTCTGCTGGTCCGCAGAGACTGCAGCCACCCCTGCCTCTAGGAGCTCAGGCCCAGGGAGATGCTAATTCTGTCCCTGAGCC